>NC_000008.11:5198846-5501131 GCF_000001405.40 Homo sapiens
AGAAAAAGCATTAAATGATTGTGGAAAATGAAATGTGTATGACTTACTTGTGGTCATTGAAATATCTTTGGCCAAGCCTCTTCTCCAGACTTTATCCAATGGTCCTTTATATTTAGAAATCCTCTACTTCCCCAAAATATTAACTATTTATAGTGATTGTACTGCAATGTGATTAAGAAGTTTTAAAACAAGACTGCATGAACTTAACTCTCAGCTCTGACTCATCTGCTATATCCAGAAAACGGGGATAATATGACTGACCTGCTTCTAAGGCTTGCTATGTATGAGTATCAAATGGTTACCATATTTAAAGCAATTTGAAAAGTGCCTGGTATGTTTCAAGCACCAGTAAATACTAGTAATTAATGACTTTCTAATGCACTATACTTCTTTTATTAGTGGCTTTGTTTCTCCATCTTTTCATTTGACAGTGATTTCCATGACAGTTGTTCGGGAGTAATGCTCATCATACTGAATTAACACTATTGAATTGCTTTTCACTCTCACCTTCTAGTTTGAAAACTTTTTGAGGACAAATACTGTCTTCATATAACAATTTTTACAAGGTTTATATAATATTATATTAACCTTTATATTAATATATCATATATTCATTATTGTGTTATATCTAATGGTATTTATTTATATCAATAATTATAACTATGATACTATTATAGATTAATATATACTGCAAGGTATTACACAATAAGATATTATAATGTTATAATGTTGTATGTTCTTATGTGTAAGAATACGTTATATTTAATATAATATTAGACATTATTATAAAATATATTATTGTATATTGTATGCATGTGATACTATAATGTTTTTACAGAACAATGTCTACTGACCCCTCTACGTGGGCTGATTCTGGAGTTTTCTTCTACGTTTATTCCCATTATCCAGCATGTTCTCTTCTTTCCATCTTTCTCACTTCTAAAATGTCATTCCTTCAGACTTTCATTCACTCAACTAATATTTATTAAGTGGCTATTTTTTGTCAGGCACTGTCATTCTCTGTCATTGCATCCTGAGTATTTCATCACAATCCTCTCCAAAGTCTTACTCTTATTAATGTATCTAAAATATAATTCCTTAAGGGCAAAGATCAGGGTTCATATACTACACTGCCTAGCAGGGATGGAGGGGTGTGTGTGTGTGTGTGTGTGTGTGTGTGTGTGTGTGTATGAAATCTGACTGAATGACTAAATGAGTAATTTACTCTCAGTCAATATTGGATAAATAAATAAGGCAAGTCAGGACCCAGAATGTCAATAGAAAAATAATAGAGAGCTTGAAGGGTTTTTCTTCTACAAATCATCATGTTTCTCATGAGACACGGCAGAACTAGTCCCATAGCCTCAGCCAAACTGGAGAAGACCAAGAGTTCAGTTTTCCTTGTGCCCGAGGAGAAAACTGGAAATCAGTGAAAAGCCCGATTGACTATTACAAAAGCAAATGTGAAGCTAAATATTCTTAATAAAACATTTCTTCATTTCCTTGTTCAAGCTCTGTCTAGTGACCTAGAGGGTGATCTATACTGAATATATTTTTATCATGGTTTATCAAACTAGGGTTCTACAGAAGAATTTAAAAATTTGCATTTTTGTATAAAAGACAACCGGAAATGTTACCATAAGCACAGTGATAGGTTGTGCAGATGATCACGTTATACCAGAGTCCTGTCATGTGATGAAGTCCCATGATGTTTCACCTGCTGGTTTTATGAGGCCACATAATCACTCACAGGGACAGCATTTAACTTGTCATCTAGTGGGCGGCTTGTTAGCTGCCAGCAAGCTGTCACATCCCAACATCAAGCTGACAGCCCAGCTGCATATTTATACAGGATGTTCCGTGGGATGGAGTGGAGTGAGATGGAGGAGAGTTAAGCATGCTCAATAAGACTTAAATCATTGAGTTAGAAGTTGCCAGACTTTGGAGCTCCAGTTCCTAGACCTAAGAGTCCTGAAGGGACAGGCACACCTCTGAGGGCTGATTGCACAGGCTCCTGAAGAGGTCACTATGATGAAGACCACTGTGAGCCTTGCCTTATGACTTTGTGACTCTCGATTTTGTTTTGTGCTTTCCTGTATGGTGTGAATGTCAAATATATTGAAACAATGGCTCTCTGTAACTTTTACTAAATATCACCAAAGTTATTTGGTCTTCCCAATAAGCTTATTGTAATGGAATTCTACTGGTAAAATCTGTGCCCTTTGCTAAGGTTTGAGATATTTATTATTTTCCCAGATTCAAAATTTTAGTTTTCAGCAGCTATAAATTCAGCTGAAAAGATCAGATAACACACACATATACACCCAGGAGTGGAATAGAGATCATGTTTTCCATAACTCCATGGTATCTGGATTTAATCTAATCTGTAAATATCATATCTTCCTGAGTGTCTATTTTATCAACTAACCTAACATTTCAAGACTAGAAAGCCTTTGACTCATTATCTAACTCATACTTCTCATTTACACGAATGAAATCTCAATCCCAGTAGAGTTAAAGGACATGATCAAATGTTACCCAGTTTTCCTGTGGCAGAATTGAAATCAAAATTTATATCTTTTGGTTATCAGCTCAAAGATATTTAAAAGCCAAAACCTTACCTTATAAATAATGTCATGTTTAAGAGTATTAATGATGTCCCTCCTTTAGTAATAATAGTTTCTGTCTGGTGGGATTGCTGAGTTGATCAAATTCAGTTGATGATCTTTGCACTCAAGGTATAATGACGTACTCAAGGTACAACTTATAATGATGATATAATAATACCACTTAAAACTCACTGGCATATAATGTCATTTAGAGCAAGAAAATTGATATGCTATTTATTATTACATTCTCTGTTGGTACAACAGTGCCTATGAGCTGGGCCCTCAGTAAACGGCAAATGTCCATTGATTGAATGAATAAATGAATAAGGTGCCATATCTATCTACCTATATATTTATATTTACACTTATCCATGGTCTTGCCCAAAATCAGACAGAGTTAGGATGTTTGAAATTATACTGACTCAAAAACATATATTCCTGAAAGCAATTTTAAAAAAGGGGCTCTATACGATCAGTATGCTTTGAAGGGCAATCTTAAAAATATAAAACCATAACCAAGATAGGACATATCTCATAGAAGCCAAGGGAAATCTCTGTATTAGTTTGAATGGTGGTCCCAAAAAGGTAGATCTACATATTAACTCCTGAGAACTGTAATGTGATCTCATTTGGAAAAAGGGTCTTTGCAGATGTAGTTAAACTCAGCTGAGCTTAATCCTGAGACGAGATCATTGTGGGTTAAGTAGGTGGGCCTTATATCCAATGACAAGTCTACTTATAAGAGACAGAAGAGAAGGTGTCCACAGAACGGAAGGCCACGTGAAGATGGATGCAAAGAGAGGATAGATGCAGCCACGAAGAATGACGGCGTGAAGATGGGAACAATAGACACTGGCATCTCCAAAAGCGGGGAGTGAGGGAGGGACTCAAACACCTTTTAGATACTTTGTTCATGAATTGGGTAATGGGTTCACTTGAAGCACAAACCTCAGCATCACGCAATATATCCATGTAACAAACAAGCACATCTGCTCCCTGAATCTAAAATATGAAAACAAGAATGATGACCACCGCCAGAAAGTGGAAGAGGCGTGGAAGGATTCTTCCTGTAGTTTTCTGAGAGATTGCAGCCTTGCTGACACCATCATTTTGGACCTCAGTGAGAAAACAGATTTCTGCTATTTTAAGCCATTCATACGGTGGTAATTTATTACGTCAGCCACAGAAAGCGAATGTCATCTTCAAAGCCAAATAACAAACACAGTTGAAAAGAACAGAAAGCGCCACACAGTCAATCAAAGAGAGTAAGGACCAGCAGTAGAGAGGGGACGCCCCTGACACACTTGCAGAAGCCAACACCTTGACCAGGCTATACTTGGGACCTGCCGTAAATCTGAAGAACTGAGTTTGAAATTTCTGAGTCAAGCCGTGACTTTTGAAAGGGGCTAAGCCAACAATGTTCCTGCAGATAAAAATCTAGCAACTACAATTTAACAATAAAAAGTTACTAACACACAATGAAAAAGCCGCCATACCTGAGGGTCTGAAACGATTGTTTATTTAGACTTTGAAGGAATTAAGGTATAAGATACTAGTTACAGCTATAAAATGAAGACAATGTCTAAGGAAATAAAAACTAGAAACTAAAATAATAAATAAGGAACATGGAGCTCTGAAAAGCAAACACAAAGATAGGAAAAGAAAGAAACATTCATATATTAAAATTGTGCTATCTTAAATTTAAAACTCAATGGATGTGTTAAATGACAAATTGGACACTGTTAAGTGGAAACAATGAACTCTAAATTGGGTCTGGAAAAAATAATAAGTAATTAGCAAAAAGAGAAATGAAGATAGAAAATATGAAAGTAAAGAGACTAATTTGATATAAGGTGAATATCTACTTTTTGGCTAAGTAAAAGTCCAGGAAGAGATAATAAGGTAAATAAAGCAAAAGTGTTATTTAAAGCAATAATAACTGAAAATTTTTTTACAACTTAAAACACGAGTGCAAAGATACAGAAAGCACAACGGATGCTTCAGGACAAACAAAAATAAATTCACTAGTAGATATATCCAGTAAAATTATAGAATATCAAAGGCAGAGAAAGAGAAGCAATAACTTAGAAACAGATCTATAATCATATGAAGATATAAATACCATGGAATAGCACGTCAGTGGCAAAATAATAATTTAATAATAGTCCTGAAAGAATTAGTCATTATTATGAAAAATTGATAAATTTTATTTTTACATTGTGCCATAACTTATAATAAAGCATTTTAAAGACATAACTATAAAAAACAACCTGTTACTCTTTTAAAAGAAAATATACTATTTTTGCAAATTTGGGGAAGAGAAAAAGTTCTTAAACATGACTTAGCCTTAACCACAACCCAATTCAATACATTAAGTTTAAAACCTCTTCTCTTCAGTAGGTACCATAGGGGAGATGAAAGAATAATTCCCCAGTTAAGAAAATATCTGCAATAATTGTTACTGAAACTGATACACACTATTCATCTGTGAATGTGTCACAATTATACTTTGTCATGTCCCTCAACAGTAGAACGTATAAATGAATTTTGTCATACTTACAAATGAATAATGCACATGAATGATAATTTTAAATATTAGATTTTTATTGTAATAACAAGATTATATACACAAATCCAGTTAAGTGCTAACTTTCAGGTTGTAGCAAGTTGGGGATTAGGTTTTGAGAGGAATGCATTTATGATATTCAAGAAAAATTTAGTTCAATAAATGAATTCACCTATGCATGTTATTTTAACTCAAAGTCTTCAAATACAACAGGAGGTTTTACCATGTTGTCCAGGATGGTCTCAAACTCCTGTCCTCAAGTGATCTGCATACCAGGGCCTCCCAAAGTGCTGGGATTACAGGCGTGAACCACTGCACCTAACCCAAAAATCTATTTAAAGATTGGCTCTAATATGAATTAGATTCCAGGAAGTCATCCCATCATATGTTTAAACTCTCAGGACAGTATTTCCATCGAGTATATGATTGTGTGCTGTTGTCCTGGTGATGCAGAATTTAAGTGATAAATCAACTACAGTGCTTCTCAGATGTATACACACACACACACACACACACACACACACAGATTAGCTGGTATTATTGATGCTTTAACAAGTAATATTGCCATTCTGGGCAACAACTCCATATTTCAGAAATCATTCCTCCAAATGTAAACTTAGGACATCAAACCATCTAATTCACACAGTTTTAAAAAACTATCAACATATTTATGACTCCCCTGGTCTCTCAATTTCTCTATCAGGAAAACTCAGTTTGGTACAAAAAGAATAAGATAAAGGTAAATGATTCCAGGGCTGCAGAAAATAAGCAGGTATCATTTCTAGTGAATTCCCAAAAAGAGATACAGGACTTTTGAAGCTAAAGAAAACTTTAAAATGGATCAACTTGCAGTTTATTCTATTAAATTTTGAAATAATGACTTCTTGCTCTTTGGATGATGTTCTTCACTGACCTGGTACTCTACTGGCAGTCAGGAATAAAAGTCCTTTTGCCTGCCCTCTCTAATTTCCATAAAATATTCTTTTAAAATCAAGAGGAGTGTTTTCGAATCCCCAAGTAGGTTTTAGAATTGCATTTGTTAGTTTACATAAGAGTTTTGTTTAGAAAGTGTAATCACCCACGTAATCGAATCAAAATAGCTATTTTATTTGTAACATTGAGATTTTTAGTGGGGAAAATCGTGAACTTGCATGGTTGAGCAGGTTTTGTCATTCTAGTGAAAACAAAAATGGAGACTGTACTCAAATGTGAGCAATCTCCATGTAGGGAGGATGCCACCAACCAGGGTAAGTGCAGCCATGGAGACTGATCTTTCCACATTAGCCTATGAACAACTGGAAGAAAGAGGTACCCTTCTTAAGCAGGTCAATTATCAGTTCTTACTTAGTGAGTGAATAAATGCAGATCAAACTAATGGAAAGAATGAAAGAAGAGAAAGAAGGAGAGGAAGGAAGGAAGAAAGAGAGGAAGGAAGAAAGAAAGAGAGGAAGGAAGGGCCGGGCACGGTGGCTTACGCCTGTAATCCCAGCACTTTGGGAGGCCGAGGCGGGCAGATCACGAGGTGAGGAGATCGAGACCATCCTGGCTAACACGATGAAACCCCCTCTCTACTAAAAATACAAAAAATTAGCCGGGTGTGGTGGTGGGCGCCTGTAGTCCCAGCTACTCGGGAGGCTGAGGCAGGAGAACGGCGTGAACTGGGAGGCGAAGCTGGCAGTGAGCCGAGATTGTGCCACTGCACTCCAGCCTGGGCGACAGAGCGGGACTCCATCTCAAAAAAAAAAAAAAAGAGAGGGAGGAAGGAAGGAAGGAAGACATGGAGGGAAGGAAGGAAGGGAGGGAGGGAGGGAGGAAGAGGGAGAAAGAGAGAAAGAGAGGGGGAGGGAGGGAGGAAGAGAAACAGTCTGTGTCTTGCACCTAGTTGGGTTTAGACCCACTGTGATGGGATGGGACCCGTGTTAGTGTCGTAGTAAAATGCAGAAAGAGAGACTTCTATCATCTTATGATTAAATGTGTCTTTTAATGGGCCTATGTGTCTGGGCTGTGACCATCACAATTGTTTTTCCAGTCTCAGAGCTTCTCCCTCAGCCCTCTTTGGTGAGAGAGGAAAGCTGGAGGGAGCTATAGTGGGAATAAAGCCTTTCTACAGCTGGGATAAGGCTCTGGTTATGGCTCTGTCACCGGAGAGTAAGTTTTATTGTAAAGTTCACTCTCTATGTGTTTCGCAAAAGTTACTCTTCCTTCCAATGCCAGTTGGAGATCTCTCTTGACTGTTTCCTATAAGAACTTAACGGTGTTCCTAGAAGTAAAGCCCCTAAAAGTGTTGGCCACAGATGAAGAGGTGTCCACACAGGAGATTTGGACTCCCAGTCTAGTTCACATGTAGATCCCAGCAATCCACCCCATTGATTGTTTACGTGTTCCTACTACTGTCTGGCTCCCTTGGCTTCTGCTGCAGATAAGCACATCGTGGTTCTAACTATTTTTTTTTTCTCACTCTGTCACCCAGGCTGGAGTGCAGTGGTGCCATGTCTGTTCACTGCAACCTCCACCTCCCATGTTCAAGTGATTGTCCTGCTTCAGCCTCCCGAGTACCTGGTATTACAGCCACCTGCCACCACGCCTGGCTAATTTTTGTATTTTTAGTAGAGATGGGGTTTCACCATGTTGGCTAAGCTGGTCTCTAACTCCTGACCTCAGGTGATCCGCCTACCTTGACCTCCCAAGGTGCTGGGATTACAGGAGTGAGCCACCGCGCCCAGTAGGCTCTAACTCTTTGAACTCACCTGCGCTTTCAGATTTCAGGATGGTGCTTTCCCATGCAACCTCACTTCTCTGATATGTCAAAGAAAAGTCACCCATTTTCAATTTGCTCAGCATTTTCTTGTTCTACAGATGTGGGTGATGAATTCCAAGCTTTTTGGATGTTCCAGCTGAAAGTGAAGGAATAAAGAAATCCTGTGGGTGGCATATATGTAAAAAGATACATAGAACACAAGTACTGCAATTCACCAGTGGCTTCTGATAGGGGGGTTAGAAAAACAATTGCAGCCAAATTTCTCTGCCTGATTAGCATTAATTTACTCACAATTTGAAGAAACAACCATTAGCTTAGGAGTATCAGACATTAGTAGCAGTAGGCCAAGTGACAATCATTGCCAACTTCTTCCCCTGCCAAGGTTTGGGATGCCTGCCTGGATACAGTAGCACGCGATTGTTGGCCACTGTTTTAGCCACTGCCATCTGTCCTGTTTCCCATATAAATTCTCCCTCTTGCTGACAGATATATATGGAATTCTGTAGAAGGCATTCCAAGGCAAGGGTGTTTTTGTCATTTAAGTCTGCTCAGGTCTCTGCCATGACTTATCCATGTCCCGATTTGCAAGGCAGCTTTCAATGTAGCTCCCTGTGAATCCTTTTAGGTACTGGCTTATTTACTGCTTCCTGCTGCAGCCAGGGCTCACTCTGTGACTCTACTTAGTGTGATTCAAAAAATGGGTTTAACAGAGCATGCTTGGTATTTTGGTATCTTTGACCATATGACACTGTGGATAAAATAATCCATATATATCACATCCACTAGCACAAGACGGTAGTTGTGTTTGTCAATGTACATTTGTCTAATGCCCTCTCCTTTTTGGAGACTTGCCAGTGCTTACAATGACAGAAAAAGACATCTAGGCATTATTAGCCTATGGTAGAAGTAGGTTTCCAGGGAGCTGAGGAGCATGGTTGCCCATGGTGATTGGCCATTTTTGTCAAAGACTTAGTTGGAAGCAAGCCCAGAACTTTCTATTTATTTGCATTCTATTCAACACTTTGTGCTGTACCGGGGTTAAATGAGTAATAAATCTGAAACTAACTTTACCCAAAATGAATTTATCCTTTAAAGAGCTGCGAGGCTTACTCCTTGGATCAGCAATAAACAGGAAACATCTAAATCTAAGGCTGCCTTTAATTCACATACCAGGTTAACATAAAATGTTTCTGACAAAGTGTGGGGCTTAGTGACACTTCAACTCTCCTTATGTTACTGAAACAAAATTCATTAAAGCCACTCTGAAAAGTGCAAAGAAAGATCTTATTAAACTTCTATTATCTAAGTTTAACTCTCTATCATCCTTCTTTTCTTGATCTTTCAACTCTTAGAACAGAAAAAAAAAGAAGACATACAGATGCATGCATGCACATGCAGAGAGAGAGAGAAAGAGAGAGAGAGAGAGGTGTATTTATTCTTTAAAAAGGTCATAACGGTAGTCTATCATGTTAAAAAATAAAACATTATATTGTCTATACCCTAACACTCTATCCCTTTCTCAAAATAGTTCTAATTATAACATTATCTCCTGCTTTAAATACAAAACTTTTTTAAAAATTAGAAATGTTTTAGAGAAAACTATAGGCTAAATATAAACTGAAACTAAATTGTAACATTATATTGATTTAAACAAATGATGTGTTTTTACTTGGAAAATCACATAACCTATAAAAAAAGGTTGAGTCAACTTTAGTAGTGATGGGATAACACTTGACTGCATGGAAGATAGGAAAAAGGGATGATGAAATTAAAACAACAAACTGCCTTTATTTCATTACCTTTTAAATTATCCTTTAAATGTCAGTGCATTTACAATGTGCACCTAAATTTTACGGATTTTTTTTAACTAATATCAATGAGAAGAATCTTAAAATGGAAATTATTCAGGAGTGAAGTAGGAAGTAATGTACTGAAATGGAATGCACCCTGAATTTGGAATTTGAAACCTTGATTGCTCATTTAGCCCTTGCTTACTGCTCCTTTGATAGCTGAGATTAGTTGAAATTTACTTTGATTATTTGCTAGTGGGAGTAATAAGGTATACTTTTCTCAGAGTTATCATAAGAATTTATTCACTGCAAGAAATTAGTCACACGTGTCTGGGACCATATCTGGCTAGCAATAGACATAGAGAATGCAAGAACAGAAATGCATGCATATCCCTGGAGAGGATACCCTTAGGTAGAATGGTTATCATTTAAAAATTACTTCTTTTTGTAGCTTTCCCTTTGGAAATTGAGTTTAGGCTGAAGATGGCTTGAAAATGAGGTGAGAACTTCACTTTGAATTCTTTGCCTTATGGTAGCAAGTTGAGTTCTCACTCAGAAGTCAAATACATGCAATCTAAAATCCAAACTCACAACCTAGCTATCACAGACTTGCCTTCTCACCCCAAAGAATTACAAAACCTTGACAACTTATCTAAAAACAACTGCCTTTATATCACTGTAGATAGCACACAACACAGGGTGGAAAGGTGAGCAGCTTTTACAATAAGGAAATTTCCAAAGGAGAGAGGGAAGGGAGCCAAAGAAGGAGACTCCATGATAGGTGTAAAATTTACCCTCGAGTATCTGGCTTCATGAGGAGGATGGCTGCAGGGGCTGCTGAGATGATGAGAGGTGTTGGTAGCCGCACAGTGAACAGGACACGGTAGAGTTTAAACTCAGGCAGAGAGGAATCTCCTTAGAGGAAATCCCAGGGTGTTTTTTGTTTGTTTGTTTGTTTGTTTTTCCGGAGTTTTTTGCTCTGGTTGCCTAGGCTGGGGTGCAATGGCACAATCTCGGCTCACTGCAACCTGCGCCTCCTGGGTTCAAGCAATTCTCCTGCCTCAGCCTCCTGAGTAGCCGGGATTACAGGCATGCACCACCATGCCCAGCTAATTTTTTGTATTTTTAGTAGACACGTGGTTTCACTGTGTTGTTCAGGCGGGTCTCGAACTCCTGACCTTGTGATCCGCCCGCCTCGGCCTCCCAAAGTGCTGGGATTACAGGCGTGAGTCACCGTGCCCAGCCACCACAGGTTTTTATTTAAGTCTCAGGAAAGATCAGGCCCTGGGTGAAGGTGCCATACTGAACACCCAGAATCACTTTTCTGAGGTGCTTATGTGGTTAAGGAAGAGATAAAATTACAACTTTAAAGCAGAATACAGTAATACATCGAAGGAAAGTTTTGTAATATTGTAAAAGTATCTTCAACTAAAAAGATAATACCCATGCACATTTAAAAAACGAACTATTTTTGATGTCTGACTGCTGAGTGCTTTCAAGGCGAACCCTTCTGCTCCTGCTCTACCTGGCTCACCCATGGGCAAGCTGACACACAAGCCAGGGTCCCCAGCCTTGGGCTCCATCAGGAAGTTCGAGCCAGGCAGGCACAGCCCACGTGTGGGAACCCTCATGGGTTCCCCACAGAATCCACCAAACTCCATGCTAGTCCCCGTTTCCCGCTTTTTAAGCCATTTTGGACGGTATCGGAGCTCACCCTGCCCTTGCAGGAAAGCCTCATTATGTGAATAGTAAACATCTTCCTACACTCTCGGCACCTGTGCGGAGTCATCACTCTCTACCTCCAAGTAAAATTTTGGGAGTGGAGCCCACCCTGTTAGTGTGGAGAGAACACAACAACTGTAAAAATAATGCTATATTAATGATAATAATAATTATAATGATTTAATACTTCATTGATTAAGATAAAAAAGGAGACACAACCATGAGAGATTGTTAATAATTTTCTATTAGAATACTTTATAATAAAATTTACCAGTTGTATAATTTAAATACATATAGTTTGTTCTGTGCCAATTATAGTTCAACAAAGTTGATTAAAGGAAAATATTTTGAAACTAGATAAACTGAATTTAGAAATCCAGATACATAAAATTTACAACAGGTCCTTTTCAATACAAGATGTAGAAAAACTTAAACAACAAAGGGGCAAGGGTTTATCCTGCACTTTCAAACCAAAAATAGTTATCAGATGTGGCTATATTAGCATCAGATAAAAATATGTAGGGTAAGAAGTATTAAGATAGATAATGAAAGATCTTTTATATTAACAAAGGGTTTAATAATTAGAAATACATAAGACTTATACGTGGGGACAATTAATAACAATTTCAAGGCATAGAATATAGAAAGAAATTAGATAAGAAGTAGATAATCCTGGAATTATGTTTAGGAATTTTAACATATATCCTCAGCAAGTGATAAGAAAAATGGTTAGAAAAGCACTAATACAGTAGAAAATTTAAACATAAAGGTGAACTGACTTGTATTAATTGATATTTTTGGAAGGCTATATATCCAACAAGTAGAGCATGCAAATTCTCCTAATACATAGACAACCCATTGACCAAAATAGACCATATATCTGGCAAGGGAGCACACATTGTATGTTTTAATGTTTTAAGTCATTCAGTAAATTTTTTGACTTCAGTAGAATTAAATAAAAATCAAGAATAGAAAGATAACTAAAAGATCAACATCACTGCAAATTAACAAACACATTTAAAAATAACTCATTAAAGAATAAAAGTACAAAGGAGTTAAAAAATGCTTTAAGTTGCATGATAATAAGCATCGGACATGCAGCCAAACCATATTTTATAGGAAAAGTTATAGCTTTAAATGCATATACTAGAGAAGAAAATTTAAAAGCCATAAAATAAAGGATCTTGCCTTTAGCTAAGAACCATATAAATAACAGCAAATTAAGTCCACAGAAATAAGATGGCGCAAAATAATAAACACGAAAACAGCAGTAAATAAAATTTTAAAAACAAATAAAATAGAAAAAAATCAATACAGCCAGAAATATGTTCTTTGAAAAGATTAATAAAATTCATAAATCTCCAGCATGACTAACAGAAAAATGAAGAAAAAACAATTACAAATACCAAGAATGAAATAGAGGTTCCCACTACAAATACTACAGATATCTGAGTGACAAAGGAGAGTTATTTTTAATAAGTTTATCATAATAGATTTGAAAATTTTTATGATGTTTGCTGATCCTTTGGAAAAATATAACATAAAAATTGATACCAGGAAAAATAGAAAATATGAACAGTCTATGTCTTTAAATAAATTGAAACCATAATTAATACATTTTCATAAAGAAAACTTCAGGCTCAGATATTTTCAAAGGTGAATTCTCAAAATTTGTGAGAGAGATAATATTAAACTTGCTTGAATATTGCAGAGGATAGAAAACAGAATATTTCCAAATGCATTTTACAAGACTAGCAAAAGCTTGATAGCAAAACTTCATAAGGGCATTTCACTGAAGGAAAATTACTGGGCAATACCTCTCATGAATACGTATATATTCATATCTATATACATATATATGTTCTCATATATTTTGTCTTATATATTCTTATATATAGATATATACGATTATATATTATATTCTTATATATTCTCTCATTATATATTCACAAACACACACACACAAGAATACTAAAGAAAATACTAGCAAATAGAATGTGCTTATGTATGAAATAATTAATAAATGATAAATAATAAAAAGGTATATAATAATGGAATGTATTCCAAAAATATGGTTTATTTAATATATTAAAAACAAATGAATGTAATTTATCACATTTAATTGAATAAATAATAAAATAGTAATTTAATATAAAAAAGGATTTCATAAATAAAAAATCATGATTAAATTCTCAGCAAATCAGGAATAGAGGGGAACTTTTGCAATCTGATAAAGAACATGTTATAAAAATGACAGCTAACATCATACTTCATACTTAATGAGGAAATTTCAGAAGCTTTTTTCTTATGATTCTGTATAAAACATGGATGAGTATGTCCGTGAAAAGAGTCAAACTCTCTAAAATATTTGAAGAGATGCATTCTGAGCCAAATATGAGTGCCCATGGCCGGTGACACAGCCCTCAGCAGGTCCTGGGAACATGTGCCCAAGGAGGTCGGGGCGCAGCTTGATTTCATACAATTTAGGGAGGCATGAGACATCAATCAAATACATTTAAGAAATACATAAGGTGGGACAACTGGAAGTGTGTTGTGGGGGGTCTGCCAGGCTAGACCTGGTAAGGTAAGTTTAAAGATTTTCTTTAAACTGGTTGAGCTTGTCTAAAGACCTGGGATCATAGAACGTAAATGTTCAAGTTAAGATAAAAGAGTATGGAGACCAAGGTTCTTCTGAAGTCTTATAGTGGCTGCTCTTAGAGACAATAGATGACAAATGTGTTCTATTCAGATCTTTAAAAGGTGCTAGACTCTCTTAGTTAATCTCATTAGGATTGGGAGGGCCTGAAAGAAAAAGATCTAGCTATGTTAATAGAGATTTTTTACAGATGCAGATTTTCCCTCACAAAGGGCAGTTTTGCAGGGCCATTTCAAGATACGGCAAAGAAACATGTTTTGGGGTAAAATATTTTGAGTTTCTTCTTTGTCACATAATGTTATGCCAGAGTCAGACTGGAAAGTAAATCATGGTATATAGGATTAAATAAGACACATCTGATGAGAATTTGTGGCTTATAGGGCCTGACTCTCCAGACCCCTTAGATAGGAATTTGGGCAAGATAAAAAAAAAAATCAGAGCTTAGTCCTCAAGTACTACCATTCCAAACCCAATTTGTACAAAAGCCCCTAAATAGAAAATAATGTGAGACAGAGTGAAATAAAACGCAATCTAAAATATTATTCAGTCTACTATAACAACAAACGAACTCAATGAGGTTCCTGGAAACAAAATCAGTACAAAAATAATCCATTTTATTTGCATGTATCAGCAAGACAGAGGGAACAAAATACAAAACACCTACTATAGCAGTATTTGAAAAACATCAAGTACTTAGAAATGAGTGAACTAAAATATGAGCAGGATTAATATGCTGTAAATTGAGAAATATTCTTGAGAAAAACTCAAGGACAC
The DNA here is from genome assembly GCF_000001405.40 of Homo sapiens. Classification (NCBI taxonomy): domain Eukaryota; kingdom Metazoa; phylum Chordata; class Mammalia; order Primates; family Hominidae; genus Homo; species Homo sapiens. The sequence continues at coordinate 5,213,722 of NC_000008.11, forward strand.
CCACATCAATGGAGAGAACTGTATAATGTTCATGCATCAGATAACTTTATACATGCCAATTTTTCCAAATTCATCTATGGATTCAATAAGATAAAAGTTAAATTAAGCAAGCCATCTGAGAAGATTAACATTACTATTAATTTATATGGAAATACAAAGATCTACTACTAGGCATGGCTATCTTCAAGTTCAAAGGTAGAGGTCACACACTACCAGATAATAAGGCTTTTTGTAAAGATCCAGAATTTAGGAGTATTTGGTATTGACAAATAGATCAATGGGACAGACTTGAGTGTCCAGAAATAAACCCAGTCACATAAGTTAATCTGATTTTATAACAAAGGCATAATTGGCAGTTCAACTGAGAATGACTAGTCTTCTCAATTAATTGTATTGAATCACTTGGATAATTATTTTAAACACTGGCAAAATTTAACTTGTGATGGATCATTGACTTAAAGTTAGTAAGTTAAACTTTCAAGCTTCTAAAGAAAAACAGCTAGGTGGATAGGTTTATTATTAAGATAGAAAGAGGAATTTGTTAAATAGGACTGAGAAAGCATTTTGCATAAATGATTGACTTAAAGAATAGTTTTTCACTCATCAAAATATCATAAGTAAGTGAAAAGTCAGCCACAAACTGGGATAAAATATTTGTAATATATTCATTTGATAATGGACTCATCTCCATAAAATATATAGAACTATTTCAAATCAATAATAAAAGAGAGACAACTCAATTAAAAAATGAGCAAATGTCTTCAATAAAGGATTTACAAAGGAGAATATCAAAATACCCATTAACATGTAACAAGTTGTTAAACATGATTATTCATCAGACAAGTAGAAATTTAAAAGTAACAAGGAGATACTAATTAATCCTACCACAATAGCATAAATTTAGAAGACAGATAACACCCAGAATCTAAAACAATGACAACTCTCATACCTTTTTGATTTGAGATAAGTAGATGACAGCTATCGAAGAAACCTAAGCAGGACCTGGACAGCTAAACACTGGCATAAATTACAAACCAATAATTCTACTCTTGAATATAGCAAGCCTAACAAAATGATGGATTTTGGCTATGAAAATACACAACATACAGGAATGTTAATACCAACTTTATTTATAATAGCCTCAGATGGGATCAAGTCAATATTGATTAATGGTAGAATGGTAAGTTGGGGTATAGCCATGCAATGGAATAGCACACAGCACTATACTGATTCGACAACATGAAAAAAATCTGACGGATATATTAGTGAATAAAATAATAAGACAGAAGATATACAGTGCATAAGACAATGTAGTCCAAGGAAAGGAAAAAATAATCTATAGAGATTGACTGCCTTGCACGGTTTGTATGAGTTGTTAGGGGCATAAAAAGGCTTTCTTGGGTCCTGGAATAGTCTCATAATTAATTGGGGGTGCTTCTAAACATGTATACCTTGGTAGAAATTCACAGAGCTGTATATTTAAAATAAGCTCTTTTGCTGTAAATTATACACCATTTTAAAACATTTAACTTTTAACAGTGTACTAGTGTGTCACATTGAACAGCCTATTTAAACTCACTCAGTCTTGACTCTTTCACATGCAAAATGAGATAAATAATACTAACTATAATATAGGGTTATTACAAAGATTAAATGAGATAAGGCATAATAATAGCACACAGTCGAGCATGTAGAAAATTTGCATCACTTTCCCACGAAAACCTAGCTTTGATTTTTATCCCACTCGATTTAAATCATTTTTTGTCAGTCACGTTGGTATTCTATCTCCATCTAAATGTCCATGTCATAAGGATTTCTAAACATCTTATATAGCACAAAATATGAATTTTCTTGATAAAAAATGAAACATGTCAATTTGAGAGTACAATTGCTTTAATATCAGAAAAAGAAAACAAGAATTTCAAGAAGTAGAGAATCATTTTCAAAACAAAAGGAATAATTTTAAAAACAAAAAAGATATTGTTTAAATTTAAAATAGTTGCACATTTAGTCGTCAACCACGGTAGAGGTTTTCCCCCAGGGAAGACTGTGCAGTATCTGGAGGTAGATTTGCTTGTCATGAGGGGAGTGTACAGCCGTCACTTAGTGAATAGTGAAAACAGATGTGGCTAAATATCCACTAATGCAAAAGCCAAACCCCAATAGCAAAGAGGCATCAGCAGATGATGTCAGTAGGGAAGCAGATGAGCATGTCCTGCACCCCAGTGCCGAATCGTGAGCTTCAGGCAGTGTTCATAGACACTCAGGATCCATACTCAGGTTCCCAGCACAGGATCCTGAGCACCTGTGAATACTGCCTGGAGCCCCAGCGCAGGATCATGAGTATCTCTGAACATTGCCTGAAAACCCGTGCAAGATCCTGAGTATCTATGAACACTTCCTGAAGCCCCAGAGAAAGACCCTGAGTATCCATGAACACTGCCTGGAGCCCCACGCAGGATCATGAATATCTATGAATACTGCCTGGAGCCCCAGAGAAGGATCCTCTGAGTATCTATGAACACTGCCTGGAACCCCGTGCAAGATCCTGAGTATCTATGAACACTGCCTGAAGCCCCAGAGAAGGACCCTGAGTATCTATGAACACTGCCTGGGGCCCCACGCAGGATCATGAATATCTATGAATACTGCCTGGAGCCCCAGAGAAGGATCCTCTGAGTATGTATGAACACTGCCTGGAGCCTCACGCAAGATCCTGAGTATCTGTGAACACTGCCTGAAGCCCCAGAGAAGGATCATGAGTATCTATGAACACTGCCTGGAGCTCCAGAGAAGGATCATGAGTATCTATCTATGAACACTGCCTGGGAGGGTCCAGGGAAAATCAAAGTCTCACCTTTCCCCAGAGAGAGATTGCAAGTTGTTGGTTTTTGAAATCCACATAAGTTTGGACCAAAATTTTTTTATTCAATATTCCAAAATGTAAAAAGTTCTGAAAACAGAAATCATGTCATAAAAATATTGAAATAAATCCAGCCTGTTTTGGCCTGCTTTTTTTCTGAGGCATTTGTTGCCTTCGTTTATCCAATTTAATGTGAGCATTTCTGCCTTTAATTAAAGAAATAACAATGCATATGTTTAAGGGTACTGGTCCAGACATATCAGGAGGTCATTATAATGTTATATGATCTGTATATTCCGTATTCCCTTTTTTTCTTTCTTTTTTTTTTTTTTTTTTTTTTTGAGACAGAGTGTCACTCTGTCACCCACGCTGAAGTGCAGTGGCACCATCTCGGCTCACTGCAACCTCCGCCTCCTGGGTCTAAGTGATTCCCCTTCCTCAGCCTCCGGAGTAGGTAGGATTACAGGCATGTGCCACCCCGCCCAGCTAATTTTTATATTTTTAGTAGAGGCAGGGTTTCACCGTATTGGCCTCAGGTGATCCACCCGCCTCAGCATCCCAGAATTCTGGGATTACAGGTGTGAGTCACCACGCCCAGCCTTTATCACCTTCTTAAATGTCAAAAAATTCTAACAGACAGCTATCCCCAAGCGATTTGGATAGGAATTGTTGACCAATATTAGGATAGGGCATTATAAGGCAATTAATTCAAGAAAATTTAAAAAAAAGTTTTTTCTTCTTCCAACCACTCCACTTATTAGCAAACCAAGTGTATTGTACTAGTCCATTCTGGCACTGCTATGAAGAGCTACCTGAAACTGGGTAATTTCCAAAGAATAAAGGTTTAATTGGCTCACTATTTCACAGGCTCTGCAGGAAGCATGGCTGGGGAGGCCTCAGGGAACTTTTTTTTTTTTCCTAAGACAGCCTTTCACTTTGCTACCCAGTCTGGAATGCAATGGCACCGTCTCGCCTCACTGCAACCTCGGCCTCCTGGGCTCAAGCTCTTCTCCAGTCTCAGCTTCTTGAGTAGGTGGGACTATAGCCACTCTGCCCAGCTGATTTTTATATACATATTTTTTTGTAGAGATGGGGTTTCACCATGTTTCTGAGGCCGGACTCAAACTCCTGGGCTCAAGCAGTCTTCCCACCTCAGCCTCCCAAAGTGTTGCGATTATAGTTTTGAGCCACCATGCCTGGCCCTCAGGAAACTTTCAATCATGACAGAAGGTGAAGGGGAATCAGGCACATATTATATGGCTGGAGAAGGAGGAAGAGAGAGAGGGAGGAGGTGTCACACACTTTTAAACAACCAGATCTCATGATAACTCATTATCACACACTATCACGAGGACGGCAAGGGGAAAATCCAACCCCATGCTCTAGTCACTGCCCACCAGGCCCTCCTCCAGCACTGAGATCTACAAGCGGACATGGGATTTGGGTGGGGACACAAATCCAAACCATATTACATCTGTACACAATTGATCCCATATTCCTCATTCACAAAAAGTAAATGGTAATAATGACATGCACCTCTTGTATCTAGTTTAAGTATTAAATGAATAAATATCTAAAATGACTACACTGATTTCCAATGTCTAGTATTCCATGCATAATAGCTTTTCTAAATCTTGTTCCTTGTTTTATTATTAAATAAAATACATATACCTGAATTGAGAAATAGCCAACAAATTAAAGCGTTGTCTTTTTTAAAATACTGTAATATTTTAATATTTTTGGAGTAATCTGTGCATGTCCCTTGGCAGCTTGATGACACGACTCCCTAACAAACCTACAGAGGCTGGAATGGCAGAGTCACCTGCCAAACGCACAGCAGCAGGACTGCAAATATTCCACATGGGCTTCATTGGGGGCACTCTTGAAGAACAGGGGGTCAACTGTTGAGGACACAATAACATGTCTACTACAGACAGGATGAATATTGCTTTCAACATTGCCCACCTCCAAATGCCTTCCACATGGAAAGTCATGAATCAGTGTCTTAATGAGTATATCAACAGGGGATTGCAAATGAAGTAATGAACTTGAAACACGTCAGCGTCTACTTGGACAGGGGCTCCATACTTGTTCTTTACGATCTGACCACTCTGTATTCCTTTGCCCCAATTCCCATGTGTTCAGCTGAAAGAGAATTGTTTCTTTTTTCTAAGCAAAGAAGAAAGCATCAGTTCTCTTCAACGAGCAGAGAGAGCGACGTAGGACTAAGAGAATAGATACTATGAGTTGAAGCTGTGTATTTTATTTTGCATTTTCTTTACTTAAAAACTCCCCAAACATGGAAAAAAATAAGTTAAGAGTGTACCCTGTGGTACTAATTACACCTAGATTCTCTCTTCAGGGCTGGCTCACTCTTCTCACAGATGCTGAGAACATTAGCTAGTGATGGCTCTGGGCTGCACCTCCTATGGAAACTCCCTTCGCCTGCCTCGCTGAGCATGTGTCCTCCCAGGTGACAGTCCACGGCCAATAACCAATAAGGATGAAGAGACTGACTCCTTGTCTTAACTTGGAACAATTTGGAAGGGTTACCCCAGCTCCAGAAATCCCTATAAGGTTGCTTGAGGCCTCAATTGTGACCACAGGAAAGGCCCGCTCTCCCTCAGCCCAATCCTGCCTTTCTCACCCACTTAGAGATGCATCTCCTAAGAGCACTTTCAGATAAGTTTTCCGCTCACATTTTTCACTCAGAGTCTATTTCTAGGGAACTCACTAATACAAATCATTATTTTACTTATTCAATATATATTTATTAAGTATCTACTGTAAAATGTAATGTGCTAGATCCTGTGGATATAATGATTACAGATTCAATTATTACATAATATTAGACAAATGTACTATTTCCCCTTTAATAAAAGGGGAAGTCAGGACCAAGCCGGGCCACATAGTGAGACTCTATCTCTATTTAGAAATAAAGGAGAGGGCAGCAGATATTTGTATTTTTTTCAGCTTCCAAGCCACAGATGAATTTTTGAATGTCTTCTACACTAAACACTAGGAATCGACTCTTAAATGTGTCATATCTTAAAGCTGGTCGTGGTCTCTTGGGGTGAGAGGCATGTTAGGATTTCCAGCGTTATTTCTGAGTGGTACAAAGGCACAGAGCAAGAAAAGCTTAGTCTCAAATTGCCTATTAATTTTCCATATGCATTAAGTCATTTTGCCTTCTGAAGGGTTATTTTTCTGAATTCAGAATGAGGCTGTGGAATGTGGATTAATTAATAACTCAATTTCTATTAATTTAGCCACTAGGATTTGCAGGTGGCTGTAATGCCAGGGAAGATGAAAGACCTCATGGGAGTGACAGGTTCGGGCAGAACAGCTACAAACAAGAAGTAACAACATTAGAGAAGAGCGGCATATGTAAGAAACAATTAGAACCATGTATGTGTTCCTAGGTAATTCAGTATTTAGACTTCAGGGTTCAGGTTCCTCAGTTCTGTCTTTCTATTTCCTAAGTGACTGAAGCCCTACTGATATAGAAGACGAAAATAATTGGGAAGTTACAAGTGAGATTGATGCTAAAGTTATTAAACCTCACACAAATTTATATGCTAGAAATCAGTAGCATTTTAAATGAGGAAATAACATAAGTACCTGCAATACAGGAAAATTGTACAGTTTTAATGTTTTTCTGCTGATTTACACATATTATGCAAATATTATTCAACAATAACATGGAATTTTAAAATGCCAACTACAACTTCTCTGAATTGTGGTTTTTCATTTTCTAATGCGACATAGCAAATAACGGAGCAGCCAGTCCAAATCTAATATAAGGGAAACATTTTCAAGCCAGTTTGCTGTAATTTCGTAGTACCTTTCTTGTCAAAAGTATCAATTTGTTTAAGATATCCTTTTATCGTTTCTCCTTTTTGTGCCATGAGTGAGTCAAATTCCCTACAGTTTTATCTCACAAGACATTAGATCTTAGCATCAGGTTTCTGGTTTGTTATCATCAATGAAAATATATGGATCTCAGACCTTGCGCAGATGTCAGAAATGTAAACTGCACCTAAGCTGTCCATTGAAATGTATGCTGCCCTTAGATATTTGACTTGGTATGAAATGATTCTTCAGAAAGTGTAGAGGACTTACAAATCTGACACAGAAGGCTCCACAGATCTACTCTTCATGTGGTCTGAGAAACATTTTGGAGAGCATGACTTACCTTTGGAGCCACTGTGATCCATACAGAACAATGGAACACATTCCTGGTAAAGTTTGTGAATTTGTTGGATGAACCAAAAACAAGAAAAATTGAAGTAACCTAGAAATTCAAAGTGGAAGAAGTACCCTGGGAATAGAGGTGCAAAGAGAGAAATGGCTTTAAGTCTAGAGTCCAGGACCTGGGGCTACCTGGCCAGTATGGGAATCCTGAAGAAGGAGATGGTGAAGTGGTGGCCAGTTTCACAGAGGGAGATGCTGAAGGGAGCGGAAGCCACTGAAGAGACACTCAGTTGCAGAGACATCACATGAGAGAGGAAGAGATGAGAAAGAGAAACCCACTCAAACTTAAAAATAAATAAAGAAAAATGCCTTAGTTCTCTTAATTGAAATATTTACGCTGGGCACAGTGGCTCACTCCTATAATCCCAGCACTTTGGGAGGCCAAGGCAGGCAGATCACCTGAGGTCAGGAGTTCGAGACCAGCCTGGCCAACAAGGCGAAACCCCATCTGTACTAAAAATACAAAAATTAGCAGGGTGCAGTGATGCATGTCTGTAATCTCAGCTACTCGGAAGGCTCAGGCAGGAGAATCGCTTGAACCCAGGAGGTGGAGGTGGCAGTGAGCCGAGACTGCACCACTGCATTCCAGCCTGGGCGACAGAGTGAGACTCCATCTCAATAAAATAAAATAAAATAAAAAATCAATGTTTAGACAGCCAACAATGGTGCAGAATCGCTCTGGTTTCCCTGATTTCTGAGCTCTGCTTTCCCGTGTGTGACCCCATGCTCCAGCAGGCCTCCTTGTGTGTTGAAAGAATGGACTCCATCTCCTCTTCTTTTATTGATTGAGTTAAATAATGTGAGTAGAACAACACAGCGTGGTGTATTGATGTCAGAATATTATCCCCCAATGTATTTTTCTTAAAGTTCTACATAATTATATTAAACTGAATGTTTTCAAAGTACAGTTGACCCTGGAAACATGCGGGGCTTGGGGTGCCGGCTGATGCACAGTCAAAAACCTACATTTAACTTTGACTTCCCTAAAATTAGCTACTAGTAGTCTACTGTTGACTGGAAGCCTTACCAATAACACAAGCAGTCAATTAACACATATTTTGTATGTTATATGTATTATGTGCTGTATTCTTACAATAAAGTCAGCTAGAGAAGATGGTTTTAAGAAAATCATAAGAAAGAGAAAACATATTTACCATTCATTAAGTAGAAGTACATCATCATAAAGGTCTTTATCCTCATGGTCTTCATGTTGAGTAGGGTGAGGAGGAGGAGGAAGGGGAGTGATGGTCTTGCTGTCTTAGGGGTGGCAGAAGCAGAAGAACATTCATATGTTAGTGGACTCGTGCAGTTCAAACTCGTGTTTTTCAATGGCCAACTAGAACTTAATTGATCTTCAATAAAATATTGGATAAAGTAATTCATGTCAGAAAGTTTTTATATGTATCTTATTCACTGTGAATGGCCTTAAACAGTTTTATAGTTGAATGAGTCTGTTTATGTTGAGTGTGCATTACACTCAACTTATATTTAAACCTTGTGAATCCTCAGTTTTATTTATTTTGTATTTATATAAATTTTGCCTGCTGACTGCAATGATATTTTAGAACTACTATATTGTCCTAAATGTAGACTCATCCTCTTTGTCCCATATTATAATTTAAGGCAAAACATCTATTATAATCAACTATTCATAAAAATTTAATACTAAAGAAAACTAAATAGCAACCCAAAATAATCTTTTTATCATTAAGAGCAACAATGGCAAATTATGCATGAACGCTAGCGGTGTAAGATCTTAAGTGCATCTGATGGCTTTGTGAAATATTGATATCATAGAAGAGGCCTCCTTTATATTTGACAAGTCTTACTGGAAGATGCTGATATAAAAAACACTATCATATTTATGATGAAAGGGTTGATGTATTGATAGCAAGATATACATTTGTAAGTGGGGTCAAAAATACCTTAGTGCCTATATTAAACTTTAAGACAGAGTCTTTAGTGAAAAATAATTACTGGTAAAGTTAAACTCTATGTAAATCTTTTCAAAATGTGCACATTTGAGGTACTATTTAAGTCCAGTTTAAACAAGCACAGTGAAAAGAAAAAAGAAACTCCTATTTAAAAATAGACTCCTGAGTCAGCAGTGAAGTGAAGTACCCTGTTTCTTCGAGCAACTCATTACCTTCCGTTCCATCAGCGCTAAATATCAATATGTCTGGGTGGGTTTAACTTACAATCTAAATTACTGGAAGAAAACTTATTGCGATGAAGCTATTGTACAAAAAAAAAAAAAAAAAAAAGAGGGAGGAGGAAGAGCGTGAGTTATGAATAGTTTTTCAAGGTCTTATTTCTCTTACCCATTTTTTTCTGTATCATATAAAAACCTTTAAACAATTACTCTCAAATCCTCACACATTTACATAATCTACACTAATGACAAAAACTCTTTAGATAGAGATTCTTAACTGGGGAATTATAAATCTATATATGGCCTTCACAGAGTCTTTGAACACCGGAATTTTCTATGCATTAACATTTGCAATTTTTTTTGGAAAAAACATCCATGAAATTACAAATAATTCTTAAGATGTCCCACAAAACAAAGTCAGAACAAATACTTCAGTAGGAGCTAGATTCAAATGAAATCATTTTATGGGGAGGTAGCTATGTTTTCGGGAGACAGTTCGTGAACCTCTGTGTTTCTGCATGCTTGCAAGCTGAGGAACTCATTGTCTTTTTTTGGACTATCTTGTCAAGATTATTTGTATAGGAAAAGTAGCGACACTGCCTCCCTCCGGAATAAAGGGGAGATTTGCATAGAGCCTTAGAAAATACAGAAAGTGGCTGGGCGCGGTGGCTCGTGCCTGTAATCCCAGCACTTTGGGAGGCTGAGGCAGGCGGATCACCTAAGGTCAAGAGTTCCAGAACAGCCTGGCCAACATGGTAAAACCCCGTCTCTACTAAAAATACAAAAAAATTAGCTGGGCGTGGTGGCGCATGCCTGTAGTCTCAGCTACTTAGGAGGTTGAGGCACGAGAATTCCCTGAACCCAGGAGGCAGAGGTTGCACCGAGCCAGATCACGCCACTGCACTCCAGCTTGGATGACAGAGTGAGACTCCGTTTCAAAAACAAAACAAAACAAATACAGAAAGTGTTTCTCCTGGAAGCCAAGGGTTAATCTCCTTACTGTAATTATTGTAAAAGATTTGGGCTCTTTAAACTCAGGATTCCTCTCCCGTAATGAAGGTCACCAAGTGTGCAGGTGCTGCCCAGATCTCTTAGTGTCATCTTGCAGTGATTGGGACTCAGGCAACCAGGCAAGGAAACCCTGATGCTGTGGCCCTTGTACTGCTCTGATTCCGTCCTTTGTCTCAGGTCTTCAGTCTATTAAACTTTTGTAGTTTTAGTAGAGACAGGGTTTTACCATGTTGGCCAGGCTGGTCTGGAACTCCTGACCTCAGGTGATCCGCCTGCCTCAGCCTCCCAAATTGCTGGGATTACAAGCACAAACCACTATGCCCAGCCTCTTTCAGTATTTTCTAAGAAACGATAGCTGTCTAACAGTAAAATACCATACCCTCACGATTTTGGTGTCAACAAATTTGGGGTGTAACCATGCGATGCTGACAAAGAAATGCTTTTCCAGAAGAGGAAGGACAAAGGAGGAGGCAGTCGTCATGAACCGATAAACCGGATTGGAAGGAAGTCCACACTCTTAAGTAGTAACTGTGTTGACCAAAATGCACAGTCCACTGGGCACTAAACGGTTCCAACACATTGTCGTGAATGAGTAGGAATTGGGGATGTGGTTGCTAGCTGAGTGCCATACAGTCGGCCCTGCATTTTAACAGTGCCCTAGTTGTGGCTAGCTTTTTCTCAGAATGCAGATACTTCCCTGCCAATCTGAATGTCAGCCTCAGCTTTGCCTCATCATAAAAACCAACCATGAGATTCTTCCTGGGTGGGCAGAATTACCCACTCCTTTTCAGACAAGTTGCTGAGGTGAATACTAACACCAAAGATGAAAGGAGGGAAATTTGCAACCACGACAGACAGAAATCAGGTGTCCTGTGAGGACATTGACTGGTTTGTTTGGGAGATGACGCTGTGGTGCCTATAATGTTTCTTTAAATAAGAAGCACAACAATTAAGCCATATTATGGCTCAATCTCTTCTTTAATCTCCCATGCGTAACTTAGGTCCACTCCCAGACAATAGTCCAAGGTGCTAGAGATGTCTTCAGAGGGTACTGTCTTCTTTAAGGGAGTGTTGGCTCCTTTGGGAAGATTTCCTTGGAAGAGTTTGACTAGCATTAAGGCTCTTACTCCCTTGGCTGGCTGGGTTAAAGTGCAGATGGGGATAACTCAGAAAAGGATAAGAATCTAAATGAAAAAAATTTTTGATAAATTATTTCCGACATCCCTGCATGGGAACACTTTGGTAGCCCATTTGCTGAAGCCAAGGTAGAACTTAAGAGGTGTTATCATGGTAATGAGGCTTTGGGTAATCGTGTTACAAAAGATGCCACTGTGTGCATCCAGCGCAACTCACTCAAAAGGTGCAAACCCTGCAGCCCTAGCCAGAGAGCAATGTGGCAGGGACCACTGAGTCAAGAAGCCCCAAAAGCTGAAATAGATGGTGTCAATTACGGTTATTGTGCTACCCAATATAGGGTGAACCAAGAGCATAAACAATTTGTTTGAATGATCTTCAAGCAGGAGTCACACTGCTTGGAAACAAAAGTCCACACATCTGTCCTGTGTGCAGGTATAGAACCACCTGCTTCTTTCATGACCCTGATCCCTCCTTTCCTCACTTCTCGGAGCTCAACTGCTTTAAGGAAAAAGATGGTTAAGGGTGGGGCCAGGATCTCAAATTTCAGGAGACGGGCGCTCAGATATGTATGACTCTGTTGGAGACAGGAGCTTGAGTCACCTAGTCACAATCTACCTGATTACAAAGGGAAAGGGGATGCCAGGATTGACCTCGACTGGTTTGAGCAGGGCTTTCAACAGAGAAGGGAAGGGAAATTGGCCTTGACTTTGGGAGAGCGGTTAAATGTCAATGGTGTTTCTACCTCTAGGTATATGGCAGGAATTGAGATGTTATGTGCTTCTAGTTCCCTGTCCCATAAATTCCAGAAAAATTCTTCCAATGAGAGATTCTCTATATGGAGAGGGAAGTGCTGGTACCTTTGGGACCCTTCAATATGAATAATCCCTTTGAGCTATAAGTTTCTCTGACTAATGGTTTTGCCAAATGGATCATCTGGCAGAGGAAGGCAGCCTTCACTTAGAGACGGCCTCCAGGGTTTTGGACTTGTCACCCCCAAAAGAGCTACAAGATACACTCTGCTGGAAAAGCAGCCATTTTCTTACTAAAGGTACTAATGGATTTTTGTGCAAACCAAACCCCAGACCCCGGGGGGTCTTCTGGCTGATATACCCATTTTGGGGCAGGTCAACTCAGACTCGAGGAAGAACCCAGTGGCCCCCACTTGTGAGATGGAAAATGGTATAACTAAGATGTGACAGACTCTCTCCTTGGCAAAACTCTAGTCAGGCTGCTCTGAGCCCTCTTTACGATTTGGCTGCCACCTTGGCCTGAAAGAACTAAAGACTCTCAAGAGCAAATGATTTCCTCCACACCCACCTCCTACATAGAGACTTGAACAAACACTAGCAGAGTTTCTAGCAGCTCGAGGACTCACCCCTCGGATCGTGACTCCAGCTTCCTGAAGCTCCTGCCTGAGAAAACTCAATTCATTCTGGCCAAAACCTGATGTTAGGCAGACAGACCTCTGAACCCCTTCTTAAAGCAATTACTTTAAAAAGCTTGCATGTCTAAACCCTTTCTCTGCTCCTATGGGATGAAATTCTTCTACCCCCCAGAACTGTCTTCTCAGGGATCTGAGAGCCATGTCTGAAATGAAAATATTCAAGAAGGTGACTCTCAGCTCCCAGTTCCTGTTGGACCTGGGAGCCTAACTTTAATAAGTCCCATCAGCAAATCCAGATGGGATCATATTAACCACCCCACTTTCCTGCACGACTGTTTCCCTCCCTCCTTCTTCATTTTCCTTTTAAAACTCCCAGCCACCTGTGCACAAATTGAAGTTGAGTTCAGTTCATGCTAGACCCTTTTCTCTATTGAAATAAGCAGTTATTACTGAATAAAATCTATCCTCACCGCTTTGCAGTGGTGACTTCGTCTATGATACACACCGCTGGACTGGCCTCGGCAGCACTTCAGCTATGCGCTTTGGGCAAACTTTACTTTTTTTGCCTCAGTCTGCTGCCTGAAACAAACCACACGCTCTGCTGGGTCCTTGGTGGACAGAGATTCATTCCTCTTAGTGGCTGAGCCTAGGTAACCAATGTTCACTGGGACTGAAAACGGGCTGTTCTGGTAGCTTGGCCTCACCTGTGCACAAATGGAACCAAAAATGGATGTGGTCACTCTGCTTGGTGCGCAGGGCTCAAGGCAGTGGTCAAGGCTCTGAACCCTGTTAACATTGTTGACCTTCATGGACCTTGCTATATGTGTACTGACATTTAGGCTGCTGCCACTGGTCTAGCTGTTTGCAGTGCTATTTAGGAAAGTATAGACCAGAAGATGAAAATTCTCTTCTTTGGGTCCATGCACTATAGAGACAAACTACAGTGATTGGACAATCTGGGTAACTCATATCAGTGCCTGATACAGGCTTATTCTCTGGGTCACTAAATGGACTCTAGCTGCAGATGGAGCCAGCACTGCCCAGACAGACCCCACTGACTCCTGGATCTGCCATGTACCAGGCAGGGGGTCATATTCTGCCTTGTGCAGAGAACACAGAATAATGGGCTATGTGTCTGATGGAGACATTGCTGCTGTGTGCAGAACGTGACTCCTGCCAGAGTGTGGCCCATGTGTGATTCAGAGGGGGGCTGAAATGTATGATTTGTTGGCCACAGCTGCTCCTGGCATCCTTGATCCTTCTTGGGGCTATAAATGGGTCTAACCACTACAGACATTTGGGCAAGATTTGGTGTTGCTACTTCAGTCTGATCAGCCAAATGCAGCCATATAAATCTTGCCCTGGTCACTAACCTGTGTCTTGATTTTAGCTTTCTGAACTGTTCGCCATTTGACAGTTGTGCACCTTTTATCACAGAAGCCATGCCAGGGGCCGAGAGCCACAATACTTGATCACCATCCAGGTCCCCCCCATTCACAGGTGTTGGAGATTGTTAAGCATGGAACAGGACGCTCTAACATGGCAGAGTCACACAGACTTCTGACCCGGTCTCCCTTCCGTCCTCTTCGCTGACACACTTTAGGTTGGTTTGGTCTCTGAACGCAGCTATCCACAGAAAGAAATGAGCTGCTCTCAACCATTTCCTGGGTGATGATAAGGATGAAAGTGTTGGAAGATTTTATAGATATTATGTGAAAATACAGGATTCCCCACTGACCATTTTCTAGGTGATGATAAGGGTGAAAGTTTTGGAAGGTTTCATAGATATTCTTTGAAGATACAGGATTCCCCACTGAGCATTTCTGGGCAAGACACAGCTTCCTTTCCCTTAACAGCAACCTGGGCCAGCCTAGTTGGTCCATCTTCTGAAAGGCAATCAAGCCAATAATGGGGCCCAGGAGATTCTAACTGAATTTTCGTGTAGCCACTTGGATTCTCCTGTTGAATTGACATGGTCCTGGGTCTTAAGGATAATGACCATTTGTTTGAAAACATTGCTTGCCAAGCCATCCTACACTGACCTATGCGGGTCAAAGTGGAGATACACTAGGTGCCTATAAATTCAATGACTATGCCCTCACTGTTCTCACACTAATCTTTCGAAGATATGCCTGGGTGAGAGTAGGGAGTGATTAGGAAAAGGCTCTGTTTTAGCTACTGGAAAGGGGCACTTTTTTATTTCTTTTAGTGGTGGAGTGGGATCAGCAACCTCAGCACCTTGGGAGAGGAACACCTCCTACCACAGGAGGTATTGGGGAGGAAGGGACATTAATAATCCTTTCTCTTTCAGCGTCACCCCTGTCATCTTTCTCAAGAAAGAAAATACCCTCTTTTAGCTCTGCCTCTGCCAAACTACTGCAAGCTTCTTACACTTAACTGGCTGCTGTTCTATCCTTGCCATCTGATGGCTCTGACCACCATTCGATTACCCTTATCCTTAGCCTTTCCAAGAAGGCTATTGAAATCACAACTGCTACCAGCTCCTGCTCTTCCCACACAAACCATCTGCCAAAGTGTCCAGGTGTCTCTCCTGCCTCTGCGTCTGTAGCCATTGCTTATTAATTCAGAGTGACAGATGCAACTCACATGGTGACATGGCCAAAACACACAGATTGCATAGATGACTCACAGGCAGTACCTTCAAATATAATGACTAGAACCAATAATTCCAAGGCAACTGGGGATTCTGGGGCTTGCCAGCTGTTTACCAGGCTACACTGGGGGCACTGCCCATGCATGCCTTCCACTTGGGAGACGACCCTCCTGCATAGCCCCAGCAATTTCACATAACACTTTCTCTCCAGGGACACTATATATGTCCTGCAGGCTGTACTTGTTCTGTTGAAGCCAGACCTTTACTTGCTGTCTTTCAAAAAATATGATGACTTATACCCTAGAGATGGTTCTCACAGACCTCAAATGTTTAAGAAAACACCACCGTTATGTAAGGTAGATCTTAGAAGTCTACATTAAACTTTAATGTAGACTATGAAGATCTCTTCAAAAGAAAGCCATTCTTGGTTATTTGGAGAAGCTTCCTGGAACAATTGCTTACTTGGCATTTATGAGCACAATGCTGATGATTATCTCTGCAATGTGAGTCATCCAATTAGAAGAGGTGCTGCAGACTTGTCCCTGGCATTAGCTCAAGTGCTCAATGATGATGCCTCAGCCCTGGGAAGCATTCAGTTCGGCCTCTACTTACCAGCCAGGGTTATTATGTGACTTCCTTCCTGTGGGCCAGGCAAGAATCTGTACCATCACTAACATATCTCACTATACCTGAATTAATTCCATAGACCCAAGGGAAAAATGGTCAATACAGAAACTTGAGAAGAAAGCCACCTGGCTTTCTTTCTTTTTTCTTTTTTTTGAGACAGAATCTTGCTCTGTCACCAAGCTGGAGTGCAGTGACATGATCTCAGCTCACTGCAACCTCCGCCTCCCACGTTCAAGTGATTCCCCTGCCTCAGCCTCCCAAGTAGTTAGGACTACAGGTGCACACCCCACCCCCAGCTAATTTTTTGTGTTTTAGTAGAGACAGGGTTTTACTATGTTGGCCAGGATGGTCTTGATCTCTGACCTCGTGATCCACCTGCCTACGCCTCTCGAAGTGCTGGGATTACAGGAATGAGCCACCGCGCCCAGCCAAGCCACCTGGCTTTCTAAGGTGGACCCTGATGGATTATGGCATTTGCTCATCTGGCTGTGTTCAGGTCACGGCGGTGCCTGGTTGAGATCAACGTTATTCGTTGTCTTCATTTGGCTGCTTGGAGCCCTGTTATTGGTAGCCATAAGTAAATGTTCTACGCGACAAATTGAACAGATTTTGTCCTACCCTCTTTTGGTCATGTTAATCAGAGCACTCAAAAGTGTGTTTAGTCTTAGAAAATTTTGCCAATAACCAAGACCAAGTGTAGAAATGAGTGGTGTTCATTGTTGGAAGATAATTCTCAGTGGGTCTCTCACATTGCTGCTCATTTCGCAAGCAGAGGCCTTGACTGCCGCAACAGTAATCTCTTTTCAAGGATGTTTTGTTTAATGATTAGTCTTGGAGGATAGGAATAGCACCTCCCCCCAGAACAAAGGGCAAGAAGGGCAGGTTTTGTTTTGTGGTGTTTTTTAACTGGACATTATGGAAGGGTCATGTTCTTAAAGTTCATGTCCTCTCCCATAACATAACTCACTGTATGTGCAGGTGTCACTGTTGCTTTGAGGGAACTAGGAATTGAGCAACGAGTTGCAAATAAAAACAATGCTGATATTCAGGCCACTGCTATGTTTCTGAGTAATACTGTTTTTATTTCTAACCCACAAACCTCATGTTTCTACTGACATCCATAAAACAGGCAGCCTGGAATTTTAGCTTGCAAGTAGGGTAACTTACCAGACCCTTCATAGGACATAGGACTGATCTCAGTTTACTGGAATTTTTTATTCTACTAATTCATTTCAATAATGTTTTATTTATTAGCTAACTAAGAATATAAAGGGTAATGAATTAGGACTTGCAAGGACATGTAAAATATTATGGAAAACCAATTCTAATGTTTGGTAGCTTATGTGTTGCGTATACCTTTTATTAACTTATTTATTAAAAAACTTTGTCAACAATGTTCTAAAAGTTATAGGAATACATACAGCATACCCCGGTGAACATAGACAACATAATCATCACTTTAGTCATGGCATTAGAGCTAAACCGAGGAAAGACAAACATATAAGGTGCTCTGCATGTTTAACTGATTGAAACAGATTGATTTCAGTCTGGTTTTGGGATTGGGGAGCTGCCTCAACTACCACATATGTCTCCTTCAGATTCCATTGGCTTTATCTCCCCCATTTCTTGTTTTAATCATTGCTCTCTAAAGAGTTCATCCAATTGTACTCAAACGAAATATGGCTCTGCCTTTCCACATGTCCCCACCTCTCACCCTCGGGCTTCCCATTTGACTCTGGTACATGAAGGCCTTAATGCTCCGTGTGCAACCTGGCTGTAGGTGAGCTCCTGCCCTGTGGGTTAAACCTGTGACTACGGCTAGCAGAAAAGGGCACATGCATTTGTTTTCCTTTCTCCTTCAGCCAAACCCAGGCCATTGAATATCCCTAGACACTGTAGTTGTGTTTCTTCTTTGAAGATGATCAGACAAGACTGAACAATCAGTGTCACTGAGAGATAACAGGTGGTGGACATCCAAGATCAGTGCCTTCGTTTTGATTTATTCTTTTCCTTCCTTACTGCTGCTTTCCAGAAATTACACAGAAATAGTCATATCATAAATGTCTTTGGCTATGTCTGTGCCCTCTCGAGAACCTGGCCAAAAGAAAACTAGATTATGAAAGGCAGCATTTAAGTTGAGCACAACAAAAGCTTGGGTGTACAGAGACGCAGCAAAGCCAGAGACAAAAGGTTATGCAAAGAGTGAAAGTAATTATAATAGGGAAAAATAATAAGGCACGTGCAAGTAATGGCAAGTTGAATTTGACGACAATGTGCATTGCATAAAAGTCAGCTAGGGTAATTCTACACTGTGAAAAGCTCTGACAATTTAGACTAAAGGGATGTGTGGTCCCACTTCAGAACCTACATCAGACAGATAATTGTACGCAGGATGAATTTCACGTTAAGAAAACCAAGTCAAAATTCAAGCAAGTGAAATAATTGAAAAATGAAGACACATTGCTGGGACACGATTCTCAGCAAAAAGGACTGCACACTCTCAAAACCCAACACATTTTGTCTCACTTTAAAGTTTAGCCTGGTATGCTTCAAATAAGTAAGTGTCTTGAAGTGATTCTGATATAAAACCTCACTGCCCTCTCCCCAGCTTCTTTAATTGTCATCTATAAAGCTTACATTTACTTTGACCTGGTCTAGGAACACATGAGGCTGAATAGAATAGGAGGTGGTGTTTGCAGGAACTGCGGATGAGAACAGAGTTCCCCTTAGAGGAGGCATCAAGAAGAGGCCTGCAGAAACTTTACCAGCTTTTGCTCTGTGACATAATAATGAAAAGGTGAAAGAAAGTAGAAATGACACATAGGAAGAAAAACCATGAACAGGAGATAAGAATGAGGCATTTAAGAGAAAATAAGGAAGACAGGGGATTCATTAAATGTACTTCCAAATTTAAACCCAAAGTAGCAACCTAGGAACATAAGGTATAGAAATGATTTTTTTTTTAAAAAAGGCATGTGGTGGAATGGGAAAAACTCCAGGCCATAGGAAAGATATCCTCTGAAAATACATTTGTCACTCATAAGCAAATAAAAAAAAGAAATATGTCTGTAAAAATAGCAAATTGTTTTAAAATAATATTCTGGCAAAGTTGGACCACAAGTATTCTCTTATACACATCTTTTGGAAAGTAACTTGCTAAAATGAATTTGGAAACCTTAAAAATATTTAATACTTCACCCAGATTTATTAAAATCTTAGGACTGTACTCCTACAGTTAGCATTTATTGAGTGCATGACAGTTTTACAAATGTTATACCTTTTCATTCTCTACCGTATTAAAATGCGGGAAATATTTTCATCTCCATTCTCTAGACAAAGAAATTCAGGTTTGGCGTTGTTTAGTAATTTGGTCAAGCTTAAATAATTTTTAGGTGATAGAATTACAATTGGCTTCAAAGTGCTCATTTTTAATTACTCATTATATAAAATTTATTCTAATTTATTTTAAAGGAATATTGTTATGTCAATGTTATATGTCAGTATAACATTTATTATTGTAAATGTTTTTACAATAAAGATATTCTGAAAGAATATATAATAATATGAAATTATAAATAACTTACAGTCACACTCCCTTATTCACAGGGAATACATTTAAAAACACCCAGTGAATGCCTGAAACCATCAATAGTACTGAAGCCAAATAGACCACGTTTGTTCCAGTACATACATGCCTGTGATGAAGTTTAATTTGCAAATTAGGCACAGTAAGAGACTAATAACAACCAATAATAAAATAGAGCAATTATAACAATGTATGAGAATATGGTTTGGCTCTGTGTCCCTACCCAACTGTCAAACCGTAATTCCCAATGTGGGCGGAGGGAACTGTTAAAACGTGATTGGATCATGGGGGCAGATTTCCCCCTGGCTGTTCTCATGATAGTGAGTGAGTTCTGTTGAGATCTGATGGTTTAAAAGTATGCGGCACTTCCGCCTTTGCTCTCTCTCTCTCTCCTGCTCCGCCATGTGAAGAAGGTGCTAGTTTCCCCTTCACCCTTCCACCATGTTTGTAAATTTCCTGAGGCCTCCTCAACCACGCTTCCTGTACAGCCTGCGGAACTGTGAGTCAATTACACCTCTTTTCTTCATAAATTACCCAGTCTCAGATAGTTCTTTATAGCAGTTTGAGTAAGGACTAATACATATGGTACTAAAAATAATCTGAACGTGGTCTCTCTCCAAATGTCTCATTAATCTTGTACTATCGTACACACCCTTCTTCATGGGATCTGTCAATCTGATAAGTTAGATGGCAACTAAGTGACTAATGGGCAGGTAGAGTCCACAACATGGAGATGCTCAACAAAGGAGTGGCTCACAACCCAGCGGTGGCATGGGGCAGAACAGCACGAGACTGTATCATGCTACTCAGAACAACATGCAACATATACCTTAAGAACTGTGTATTTATGACATTTTCTATTTAATATTTTCTGACCGAAGTTGACTGTAGGCAACTAAAACCGCTGAAAGCAAAGCCTCAGATAAGGGGACGCTGTTCAACAGAAGACCACGTACATTTATTGTTCTTGGATTATCACAATGTTTTTACAAATAACTTTGATGGCAAACCGACTAAATAATCAACTCTGCTTTAATGCTTGTTTTCTCTCATGTCTTTTTAGGGCTTGAAAGCTCATTCCTTTTTAGCACTGAGTAAATGGATGAACCACAGTTTATCCATTCACCTCCTAAAGGACATCTTCATTGCTTCCACATTTTGGCAATTATGCATAAAGCTGCTCTAAACATCTGTGTGCAGGTTTTTATGTGGACATAAATTTTCAACTACTTTGGGTAGTCACCAGGAAACAGAATGCTGGATCATACGTTAAAGTTTGTTTAGTTTTCTAAGAAACTGCCAAACCATCTTCCAAAGCGGCTGCACCATTTTGCCTTCCCACCAGCAACGAATGAGAGTTTCTGTTGCTCCACATCCTCTCTGGGGTTTGGTATTGTCAATGTTCTGAATTTTGGCCATTCTAACATGTGTAGCGATATCTCGTTGTATTAACTAGAATTTATCTGATGATATATGACGTAAAATCATATATCATGATGTAAATGGTTTTACATTATATATCATCAGATACATTTTCATAAGCTTTTCATAAGCTTATTTACCATCTGTATATCTTCTCTGGTTAGGTGTCTATTCAGGGCTTTGGTAAATTTTTTAATCTGATTTCTTTCTTACTATAATTGTGTTTTGAGAGTTCTTTGTGTGTTTTAGTAACAGTCCTTTATGAAATGCATCTTTGGCAAATAAGTTTAGATTACAGGTCGAAGCCACTGCGCCTGGCCTTGGATATGTTTAAAAATGAAATTCCATATTTACTGTGGTATGTATATGTTTGATCACAACATGTACAAAATTCCACCACCATTTTACTTTTAATGAGATTACTATTGTTCTTAAATGTCACTGCCAAAGTTGTTGAATGTTGTCCTCCAACCCCAATTTTCCCTTAATCCGTGTGTGTGTGTATGTGTATGTGTGTATCTGTGTGTGTATGCTTATGTGTGTGTATCGGTATGTATGTGTATATGTGTGTGTGTGTTTAAGTGTGTGTGTGTGTGTGTCATTTGTATGATTTACATATTATGGTGATTTTTAGGCTCACATATGTTGCATTACAGCTGAACTAATTGTATAAGGTCGATGGGGGAAGAGATATAGAACTCTATGTATAGTGTATTAAATCTCTGCATATACAGGAAAATGTTGAAAAACATTACAGCAAACAGGGAGTGATAATTTGTTGATGTTCATATTTCATAAGATTTTATGGCCAGTGGTATTTCTAGTATTTCCTCCTCTCTGGGCCAAATATTTTCTAAGATACCATCTAGTTTCTCTTCCTTTCTTTCTGTGTTAAATTTGCATGATTTTCATTCTAATAAAAAAATTCAGATAGATTAATATCTTATTTGTTAAATAAAATGACGTTTTGCTTTCTAGTAATAAAAGTAGAATGCTAAGTGATCCCATAGGTCAAAAGCCAATGGTGGCAAAAGCCAATGGTATGTGTATTTTGAATTGTCTCTATATAGAGTTGTGGAGAGACTGTTACTACAAATTAATACCAGCTATTACAGAAAGAAAGTAGTTTACTTTTGTAAAATGAATGTATCGAAATGACAGAGACCTTGGCTAATAACAACATGTATATGGACTTATATATGTTTGGTTTAAAAGTATGGCTAAGTTCCCAGGTATAATAATTATAATATTTATGGTATAATATTCTAAAACTCAAAATTAAGCCTTATTCAATTTTTTTTCACATTGGTTACTCACAAGTTATTCTGTAGAAACAGTCTAATATAGCATACTTTGAAAAAAGTAGGTATACTGTATGATTTTTATTTGAACTTTTAAAAGCGACCTTTTTAAGGTTATGTTTGTTTGTTTGTGGAGAAATAATGACCACTAAGGATGAGGTCATTAAAATTAAATTGAATACATAAGATAATAGGTAAAATTAAAAATTAAATGACATAAGATAATATGTAAAGCTCAATGGCCTTAACCAGAATTTTCAACTAATGAAAATTCGAGGAAGTAAACTTGCTATGGTGCCACTCTCTTTATTGTTTTGCTATGAAGTGATTTTATCATTGGCCTGTCCCTGTTATATCTCAGGCTTTGGTAATTCTCAGAATGGATGGTGTGGTTCAGAAAATGTGATGTATTCAGGCTAAAATGTTAAAGCCCTCACTTCACAAACTTGCTTTAGAAGATTAAGTGGCTCTAAAAATGCATTTTATTCAAGGTAGTGTCAGCAGCCCTTTCAAAGATTGATCTTCAGAGTCCGCTGTCTTCTTTTATATGATGCCAAAAAATCTCCTATCAGTTTTCCTTTATTGCATTTACACGTAGACGGTTATAACCTTCATCCAACCTCGCTGTAAATTTAACAACATTAAGATCCGATAGAATTGTTACGATCGGGTTTTATTTTTATTCCTCCCCACACGGTGCATTAAGGGTGATCTTCAGCTTCCCAGAAGACACTGTGTTGGCATCAGCTGTGTTCCATGTCCCAGGCATGGTGCACGCTGATGCATGCAAGACCTCCTTCTGGCTTAGTCATTCAAAACCAACGAATGTTACATTAACCCAAATCAACAAGACTTAGGGCAATTATCAATGATTAATCACTTTCATCAAGTGCGGAAGGGAGTTAAATCTGAGGAAAGATAACCCTTAAAACAAGTCAGTAGAGTAGAAACCGCGAAGAAGTTTAGAGACGGCTGGGTGCTGTGCACTGCAGGGTTTTTAAATTCAGCTGTGGCATTAACTGGTGTTAGCAAATTAATTCATTTGTAAAATAAAATTGTGTATAATTCATCTCAATGTTTATACACACAACAGACATACACACATATGAGGATTAAATAATAAAATTATGTAAATACATTCAATAAATGCACTCAATATGGTATCTGGATTTATACACATATGAAATAGGGGAATGTAAAGGTCACGTTAGCTTCACAATAAAGTCTGATATAATAAAAAGAATGATTATTACTAAAATATCTTAATGTTTTAACTCTAGGACAATTTTTATCTAATAAATGTTCCTCTATAGGTTTATTAATACTTCTGTGACTCATATCTTACATGCTACCACTATTCTAGCCTATACATAGGGTCGACATAGAAATAATTAGACATTCATTTAACTAGTTTGAATATGTGCCTACTATATTCTAGATAATTTCTAGGTATTGAGAGTAGATTATGGAATAAAACACTAATAAATATTTCCCTCTTGGAATTTGCATCCCAGTACACTATAAGCTAATACACCTAAAATTACTTTTTCATCTTTGAATCAATGCAAACCTTTCATAGACCACACACACAGAAGCCACAGTTTTGACAGACATGTTCCAGGTTCTGAAACAGAGAGCAGGGACAGGTAACACTGACATATTTTGAAGCACAGAGGGCTTGGTGTGAGGTTGTGGTGGAGTCCAAGGTCACTTCTGGATATCAGGTCCTGTGTGAAGGATTGGCCCTCCTAGGAAAGAACACTGCAGGAAATTAACCCTACCTGAACCTACAGATCGCGGATGGACAGATTTCACACAGCTGGGCTTGGCAAAGCCATCCATCCAATCATGTACACAGATCTGTGATACTTCTAATATCCTAGCAAGAAAGAATTCACCACGGGCCAAAAGATCTACTTTGAACTGCACCTGTATAGAGGTTTAGGTCATGATTTAAGCATGTATCCTAAAAAAGAAAGAACAGACATATAACTCATATAACACACTAATTACCCTCTAGAATGGGGGAAGATAATAGTAATAACATGAGTAATAATAATATTGATAATTCTATGAAAAAACTTCAGCTGATAAATTTTATAAATTTGATAAAATGGACATTTTCATAGAGAAAAAATTAAATTACCAAAAGGATTTTAGAAGGATTCGAAAAGCAGAATATCTTTAAATAATTTAAATATCCCCCCAAGAAAGGACACATCAGATTAAAATACTTTTTCTTCAAAAGTAACTTTTACCAAAACATTTAAGAACATATAACACTGACTTAATAGAAATGAGAAAACAGATCAGGATAATTTTTAAAAGAAGAAAAACTGTGGCAGGATAGTACCTGCAAAAAAAAAAAAAAAAAAAAGAAAATTGAACAGGATCACATACGCATAAAAAGTAAAGCAAAGGTGCAAAAATATCAACTAAAATATTAGCAAACAGGAAACTGGAGGAGCCAAGTGGCCAACTAGATGCGGCCAGGAGGAGCTTCTCCCACCGAGAGACCAGGCCGTCAGGAAGATCATCACACTCTGAGCAGATCATCAGAAAGAAGGCATTGAGAATGGACAGAGGGAGAATGCAGACCCTGGACTGAAAAAGGAGAAATGCGGGACCCCTGAATGGGGTTGCTGAGCACCAGCACTGGTTCCTGGCCCCTGAGGAGCTCCAAGAGAAGGGGAGAGTTAAGTAGGCATGGAGTAGCTCACTCTTCCCATGGACTTCCAGAAACTGAGCCGCAGGAGACCCCGTGACCACTGCAGACATTTGAACTGTCAGAGAGAGCTGCTTAGAGAGTTGACAGGGACAGGACTCCAGCCTGTGCAAAGCCCAGAGGGTTCGGCATGGGAACAACCGTAGTGGAGCATGGCTAGGGACGTACACCCCTTAAGCTTTTCACACACTTCTAGGTAGCTTTGGCCTTTCTTGAGTGTCAGACTTGGACTGAAGAGGGTGATCTTGCCCAGAAGATAGGGACAGTCTGATCTGAGCACCTCCTTGTCTGCTGGCCTCTCCCTGAGTCCATGCCTGTCTGCACCCACTTGCAGCACAGACTCAGATGCCCAGCCAGGGCGCTTCCCAGAAGCCATAGCTCCTTCACTGGCAGACACCATCTGACTTTCAGAAAGCCTCTGCAGATGGGACTCCATCCACATGCACATACCTGCAGCCTCCCCAAGCTGCTTGCTAGTGCATGCACATAGACCTCACTACGTTGCCACCACCACTGGTGTGAGCACCCATGTGCATATCCCACTGCCTCACCACCACTGATGCAAGCATGTGCATGGACACCCTAGAACCACCACTCCACCACCTCCAGTACACACAGACCCAGGTGCTGCAACTCCAGTGAAGCACTTTAGCCAGCAACTCCCATCAAAATTTTGTTGTCAGTGGACCGGGAACAACTCAGCCCCCCAAGTGCAGCAGATGCTTGACCTCAAGAAACCAGAAAAAAAAAGCCATGTGCCAGGTTTCAGCCCCTCAGTGTTAGAACATTCACTCCAGGAGTGCTGAGCTGAGCCTTGGCCCCCTGAAATCATCCAGAAATAAAGCCAGCTGACTGAACCCAACTTATACCACAGTGAAATCCTCAAGGTCATCAAAGATTATACAAGCAAAAAGCCCCACCCAAAGGACAGCAGCTTCAAGGATTACAGGAACATCAGCCACACAAATGAGAAAGAACCAGTGCAAGCACGCTAGCAACTCAAAAAGCCAGAGTGTACTGTTACCTCCAAAGGACTGCAGTGGCTCCCCAACAATGGTCCTTAACCACACTGAAATGGCTGACAGATAGACACAGAATTTAGAATTTGTATGGCAATGAAGATCATCAAGATTCAAGAGGAAGTGGAAACCCAGTCCAAGGATCTAAGAAATCCAATAAAATGATACAAGAGCTGAATGATAAAATATCCATTTTGAGAACGAAATTGGTCCAATAAAAAAGAAAAGCTTACTACAAGAAGTTCATGAGATAATTGGAATTATTGATAGTAGAATAGTCCAAGCTGATGAAAGAATCTGAATTCAAAGATTACTTCGTCAAATCAACTCAGACAAAAATAAAGAAAAAATGAAAATGAATAAACAAAACTGCCAAGAAATATGGGATTAGGTAACGAAAACAAACCTATGACTCACTGGTGTCCCTGAAAGAAAGAGAGAGAAAGAGTAAGAAACTTGGAAAGCATATTTGAGGATATTGCCCATGAAGGTGTTCCCAACTTCACTAGAGAGATTGACATTCAAATTCAGGAAATTCAGATAACCCCTTAAAGATATTATACAAGATGATCATCTCCAAAACACATGGTCATCAGATTCTCCAAGGTCAATATGAAAAAAAAAAAATCAGATCTTTCAGCAGAAACCCTACAAGCTAGAAGAGATTGGGAGCTTACATTCAGCATTCTTAAATAAAAAAATTCCAACCAAGAATTTCATATCCAGCCAAACTATTCTTCTTAAGTGAAGGAGAAATAGAATCCTTTTCAGACAAGCAAATGCTAAGCAAATTCATTACTACTAGACTTGCCTTACAGGAGATCCTTGAAGGACTGCTAAACATGGAAACAAGAGACCATTATGACCATTACTGGCCACCACAAAAATACATAGACTATTGACACTGTAAGGCAATTACAGAATCAAGACTATGTAACACCCAGCTAACACTATGATGTCAGGATCAAATACACACATATCAATGTTAACCTTAAATGTAAATGGGTTAAATTCCCCATTTAAAATGCACAAAGCGGCAAGTTGGATAAAGAAGCAAGAACCAAACATATGCTGTCTTTAAGTGACCCAGCTCACCCGCAATGACACCCATAGGCTCAAAGTAAAGGCTCTGATGAAAATATATCAAGCAAACAGAAAAAAAGGAGGAGTTCCTATTATTATTGCAGACAAAATAGACTTTAAACCAACAATAAAAAATCACAAATAGCATTACATAGTAATAAAGCGTTCAATTCCACAAGACTTAACCATTTTAAATAAATAGGCACCCAACACTGGAATACCCAGGTTCATAATGCAAGTTCTTAGGGACCTAAAAAGAGACTTTAATAACCACATATAAGAATGGAAGACAACACGCGACTCACAGTATTAGATCATGGACGCAGAAAACTAACAGATATTCAGGAGCTAACCTTAACGTTTAGCCAAATAGACCTAAGAGACATCTACAGAAGACTCCACCCAACAAGAATAGAATATGTATTCTTTTCATCTGCACATGGCACATAATTGAAAATCAACCACATGCTCAGCCATAAAGCAATACTTACCAAATTTAAAAAAAATATATACCAACTACATTCTTGGACCACAGGACAATAAAAATAAAAATGAATACCAAGAAGATCTCTCAAAACCATACTATTCCATGGAAATTAAACAATCTGATCCTAAATTTGACAAAATCAAGCAATAGGGAGAGAATTAACTATTCAATAAATGGTGCTAGGATAACTGGCTTGCTATATGCAGAAGATTGAACCTGGACTCCTCCCTTACACCATATACAGAAATCAACTCAAGATGGATTAAAGACTTATATGTAAAACTGTAAAACTATAAATGTAAAACTATAAAAAGGCTGAAAGATAACCTAGGAAATATTCTGGACATAGGACCTGGCAAAGATTTTATGATGAAGATGCCAAAAGCCATAGCAACAAAACCAAAAATTTACAAGTGGGAACTAATTAAACTGAAGAGCTTTTGTACAGCAAAGTAAACTATAAACAGCATGAATAGACAGATACATAATGGGAGAAAATATCTGCCAATTATGCATCCAACACAGATCTAATATCCAGAATCTATAAGGAACTTGAACAAATTAACCAGAATAAAACAACCCCATTAAAAGTGAGCAAAGGACATGAACAGACATTTTTCAAAAGAAGACATACATGTGACCAACAAGCATATGAAAAAAATGCTTCACTTCGCTTATTATTAGAGAAATGCAAATCAAAATCACAACGAGATACCATCTCATACCAGGCAAAATGGCTATTACTAAATTTAAAAAAAAACAGACGCTGGCAAAGTCGCAGAGGAAAGGGAAGATTTATACACTACTGGTGGAAATATAAATTAGTTCAGCCATTGTGGACAGCAATTTGTTGATTTCTCAAAGAACTCAAGGCAGAATTTCTATTCAACTAAGCAATTCCATGATTGGTCATATACCCAAAGGAAAATAAATTGCTGTGTCATAAAGACACATGCATGCATATGTTCATTGTAGCACTCTTCACAATAGCAAACACATGGAATCCACCTAAATGTCCATCAATGGTGACTGGATAAGGAAAATGTGGTGTATGTATACACCACAGAATACTACACAACCATAAGAAAGAATGAGATTATGTCCCTTGCAGCAAGATGGATGGAACTGGAGGCCATTATCCTAAGCAAACTAATGCAGGAAAAGAAAACCAAATACTGCATGTACTCACTTATAAGTGAGAGCTAAACATTGAGTACACATGAGCACAAAGAACAACAGACGCTGGGGCCTACTTGAGGGTGGAGGGTGGGAGGAGGATGAAGATCAAGAAACTACCTATTGGGTACTAAGCTTATTACCTGAGTGGCAAAACTATTTGTACACCAAACCCCTGTGAAATGTAATTTACCTATAAAATAGACCTTCACATGTACCCCAGAACCCAAAATGAAAGTTGGAGAAAATAATAAATAAAATAATATAAAGTAAATAAAATAAAATATTGGTACATAAGTGCACCAGTATGTATCTAAGTTGAAAGTGGACTTCTCCCCTGTAGGGAGGGGTGTGTGCGTGTGTGTGTGTGTGTGTGTGTGTGTGTGTGTGTGTGTGTTCCCAAAACTCTTTGTATAGTTTGAGGCTTTTACAACTTCCAGAGTATAAACTCTACAAACATAAAATACCCATTTATTTAAAATTTAATTATTTGTATTTCTTAATTGTTCATTATGAGTGATATTTTAATAACATATTTTATTCTTATTTTATTCTTTGTGTATTTTTATTTAGAAAATTTGCATTTACCTATCTTCAGGTTCACTGGATCATTCCTCAGTTGGGTCAAGTCTACTAATGAATCTTTCAAAGACATTCTTTATCTCTGTTAGCATACTTTCCATTTATAGCATTTCCAGTTGATTCCTTTACTTTCTCCCTCCCTGTTAAACTTGTATTTTTTGTTGATGCGTGTTGTCTAGAATTTTCACTACAACCTTTGAAATGTTAATTATTGTTATTTTAAATTCCTGAAGGATAATTCAAACATCTGAAGGATGTTTGGACCTTTTGGGATACATTTTAATGGTATATATTTTGATAGTATAAATTTTATATACACATTTTGATAGTATACATTTGATAGTATTCTTCAGATACTATCAAAATGACCAGTAGAACTACTCCACTAGGCCTAGTTTTACAGATCATTTTACCTCATGAGTTTTTTTCTTTTTTAAAAAATTTTTTCGTCATTGTGTGTCTGGTACTATTTGGTGGAAAGTTAGCCATTCTATGAAGGTCAATGTAGATGAGGTTATTAATAATTATGTCTACATTTTACCTCGTACTGACTTTTTCTCGACATTTTTAATGAGTGTCCTTTTATTTACACCCATCACCAATTTCATCTTTGCAGGTAGATAAGTTTCACCTGTCCCCCCGAATGACTTTTGGACATATGCTTCAGTGCCTACAAGGAGACAGAAACTTTCATTTTTTTCTCTGAAAGTTGACATTTGAAAAATTCAACACTTCAGACCATGACGGTGTCTGCTGTGTCCCAGGAAAGTTATTGATGACCTTGTACCAAGGGAGTACCGATCTTTCCCTGGGATTTAACATGCAGTGTTTGCCTGCTCTTGGTTTTCCCATCGAGCAACTAACTTCTCCATGATGTTTAAGATGCTATGTTGCCATCTCTACTTTCCTACCAAAAAAACAAGCCAGGGTTAACACAACTCCCTTGGACTCTAAGTTTTAAATTGTTTGTTACTGTTGGAGGTCAGCTCCACTGGTGAGTTATAACTTTTATCCTTCTAATTCTTCTAATTCCAGTTGTGTCTCAAATTTAGTGATAATCAGTGTTGCATTTTTTTGTTTTTTTGTTTTTTTTTGAGATGGAGTTCTTCTCTTGTTACCCAGGCTGGAATGCGATGGCACAATCTCGGCTCACCACAACCTCTGCCTCCCAGGTTCAAGCGATTCTCCTGCCTCAGCCTCCCAAGTAGCTGGGATTACAGGCATGCGCCACCAAGCCCAGCTAATTTTGTATTTTTAGTAGAGTTGGGGCTTCTCCATGTTGGTCAGGCTGGTCTCAAACTCTCGACCTCAGGTGATCTGCCCGTCTCGGCCTCCCAAAGTGCTGGGATTACAGGCTTGAGCCACATCACCCGCTCTGTGCCCGGCCTGCTATATTCTATAAAGACTAATCTACACTTATGAAATCATCATCTAGAATTGCAAAGGGTTGATATTACGATAAGGGCACAATAAATTTCATATTTGGCCAAATGAATAAATTTGCTTATTGAAAATAACCTTTCCAGAAAGTAATTTTTCCCATTATATATATTGAGTCTACAGGTATTTTGGGATATATTTTTGCATTATTACCAATCAGCTACAAGAAGTAATACCACTTCTACAGTCATATTATTTGGTTAATATTTAATATTTTAGTTTTTTGCCTTTTTTTCTCCTTTTCAAAGATCTACCATATTAATTCTCTAAGAAATATAAAGAGAAACAAACATCCGACTCCTTTCTTGTAAATGGTGATCAGAAACTTTAGACATGAGGAGTACATGTCCCTGGTTATTTAAGTAAGTTTCTTGAGCTGGAATGTAATTCTAAGCACAACACAATGCTGTCTTCGTGCCTACGCTGCTGCCACAGTATCCAGAATTGACATTACACAGATCACGCTTCCTTGATTCATTTCAGCGTGTTTGCACATTGAAAACTGAGAGAAATGTTGGCAAAGGCATTATGAGCCAATTCATACACAGAGCTTCTGCCTGAGGAAGTAGTCCCTATTTCACTTTAGGCAAATGGTACTTGATCAAATTTTATGAAAGCAGCAAAGACATAGTGGCACCCATTAGTCAGGGCAAATGAAAGGGCATCAGATTGCTTCTGTGCACCTTGCTTTTAAGTTGGTAGTTGATACCATCATGTTCTTAAGAACTCCAGACACTTATCCTAATCCTGTCTTCCAATACCTTTTTGTTGAGTAAAAATACAAATAAACACAAGGGTAAGACGTTTGACATTTTGACTTCTATGTCCTCTCTCACTACAGGAAGCAAGACTTACTTCAAAAGCACTAACTAGATTACTCCCCCACTCTACACACAGAAAGCTTCTTTAATCTTTCTTGGATTTAGAGTCAATTTAAAGGGTATCCTCAACTTTGCAGTAATTTGATAGGGTTTTTGTGAATCCCTTGTAAGCAACAAATAAGTAGATAAAACTTTCACTCGATAACTGCTAGTATGGCCAAATTCATAAAGAAATGATGTTGAAGATTTATGGTGAGGTGATGGAAAGGTGACGCCCCAACAAGCCAGCATTTGCACAGTTGGCGTAACGCATGGAAAACAAGTCTGCAAGACAAATATTTCAGTCTGTTCTATATTACCCTAAAAAGTATCACATTGCTGAAGTCTACATATGACAATTATGTATTACAAGTAAAGTTCCTATTTTTAAAATTTTTAAACATTTTACATGAAATCTGGATTCCTTAGTGCCTATCATTTTATAAAATAATTAATAATTTAGATTTTTTCTATTTATTTTGAAACATTTTCAGTAATTTTCCCAACACGTACACACACACACACACACACACACACACACACACACCTTTGCTCTCTGCTTCTATGTTAATGCAACTTTTTACTAATCACACTTTGACGTTTCTACAAGTAAGGATGCTTAATGTTGAAAGTTCAGAAGTTTACACAAGCAAAACCTATATGTCTCCTGGGAAAATTTCACTGTAACATTTCAGAAGGAGATTGCCATGAAACGCAGCTGTCTTCCTTGAGTGATGACTGGAGCAGTCGCGTCAATGGTGGGCTACTCAGCTTGGGACTATCCATGTGCACAAGGAGCCACAGAAAAAGATGATTACATACCTGTTTTATAGGGCACAAGTCTTATAGGAGAAAAACTGAGAGAGAAAGGAAATATGGCATTTCTAAACCAAACTGGAATTATGTAACTTTTAAAAAGATAATACATCTGCAAGATTTCACTTTTTCTTTTCTTCTTTCTTTCTTTCTTTCTTTCTTTCTTTCTTTCTTTCTTTCTTTCTTTCTTTATTTCTTTTTTTTGTTTTTGAGACAGAGTCTCACTCTGTCATCCAGGCAGGAGTGCAGTGGTGTGATCTGGGATCTGGGATCACTGCAACCTCTGCTTCCTTGGTTCAGGCAATTCTTATGCCTCAGCCTCCCATCTAGCTGGGATTACAAACGCCCACCACCATGCCCAGCTATTTTTTTTTTTTTTCTATTTTTAGTAGAAACGGGGTTTCACCATGTTAGCTGCCAGGCTGGTCTTGAATTTCTGACCTCGAGTGATCCACCCGCCTCGGACTCCCAAAGTCCTGGGATTACAGGCATGGGCCACGAAGCCTGGCCAATATTTGCCTTTTTCTACATTGTTTTGAATTTACATTGTGGCAACTTTCGTATGTCAGGACATGGCTACTGCTCAGATAAAATAAATCTTTTATATCTGAAAAAAAATCCAGGATATCTGATAGAAAAAGTCTGGAGAAAATAAATACCAAGCAGAGGTTGGTACAATGCAAAATGTAAGAAATAAGAAGGCAATGTAAGAAAGGGAAGAATACGGCTGTATAAAGCTATTTTTCAGGCACACAATTGAAATTCGTAGACTTGCAAAATTGAAAGTCAAAAAATGTTTATTACAAAATGTAGGCTAGAAACAGTACATGAAATGTGTAGGCATCATATGCAGCCTGATTTTCCTATTGGACTGGTTTTGTTGGTTTCTATGAAGAATTCGTAATGCTGAAAAGAAACTTAACACCATGTAACCTTGGTTTAAAAATGCTTTTGGCATTTTCACCATTATTTGGCATCTTTTATTGATCATAAACATTTATTATAATGTTCCAAATTTGAAAAATGTAAAGTAAGATAATATGATTCTGG
This sequence comes from Homo sapiens, assembly GCF_000001405.40. Taxonomy (NCBI): domain Eukaryota; kingdom Metazoa; phylum Chordata; class Mammalia; order Primates; family Hominidae; genus Homo; species Homo sapiens. The sequence goes on from NC_000008.11 coordinate 5,247,311, forward strand.
GAAGCATGAGAAATAATGTTGATTTCAAATACTACTATAGCCTTTTCTCATGTTGTACCCTCCTTCAACTAGTGGGTGGAATAATATTTTACTGCCTATAGTGGTTATCTTAAAAGAACTGTCATAACTTTGATAATTGAACTCTCTCCTCTGAAGAATCTATAGTTTTAAAGAAAGACAAAAATCACTATTTTATGGAAAATGAGGACACTTTGGAAACATATTCAGTTATCTCAAAGAATCAAAGAAAAAGACGTGTTCATCTAATCCTTAGAAAAGACAGGGCCTGGGGTCTCTGCAAGGAATTTAGCAGCAGAAATCCATAGACTTCTATTCTAGGGCTCTATCATTAAACTGGCTTCATAAACTCTTTAGCAAAAGGACTTCTGTGGTATTAGTCAGGCAAGCATTAGGATTAAATAATCTATTGTGGTCAGGCTCATCTAGTAGAAACATAATGCAGCATCTTATCTTGGAGTTGAGATGTCAGTTCTCAGAGAATGGAAAATGGGCTGGATAGTGGCCTAAACTGTAATGCATGAACCGACACTTCATACCGTATAGCCTGAGCAGAATATCAAGTGTCTCTATGATTCGGCCTCTGCCTCTTTCTCCTTTGGAAAAGCATGTTCTTTTTAATGAGTCAACATCCTTTCTCAATTTCAGTAAGATAATTACTTGAAATATCATGTGTAGAACTGAAGTAGAGAGGTCATGGATCAGAAATGTATTAAACTAAACCCAAATAATTTTACGCAGTGCACTTTAACTCAAAAGAAGAAAGGGAAGTCATTTTCTTATTGTGACTTTAAATCCTGATTTTTAAATAAGAAATGTGAAATAGAGTGCAGTCATAAATTAGGGAAGGAGAATGGCAGTCATTTTTGAATAGCAGTAATTAAGCCCTTTAGTTTTTCAGAATGGTATAACTTAAATCTACAGGTTGACTCAAGAATTACTCCTATCTCAAGATCTCAGAGTTTATTCAATATGTGGCTTGCATATGGTCAAAATAAGACAATAGCTTTTAAATATGTTTGCTTACTTCAATAAGAATGCAGCTACCATGCTATCACTATGGAATAAGTTCAATCTAGACAAAATCTCACAACTATGCCAAAGTTTGTGTCAAGTCCTTACAATCAAACCAACTTACTTATAAGTCATCAATCACTGCCATTATAGGGTAATAGAATTAGTTCAACATTTATGAATCATTCAGAGAAAATAAAAATACTGCACACATTTAAAAAAGGTTGTTCATTTATTTTTGAAGCAGGATTTTATGTATTTCTATTTAAAGGTGATATTGAAATTTTTTTCTAATATGACAACAGCAGAAAACGTTCTTCAAGTATAAAAGAGCTCAATGGTAAAACATAATAATTGAGTTATTTATACATTTTATTTTAAAAGTGTAACTTTCTGTATAGGTTATTGTAAATGCATTCATATTTGGGTTGGAGGAGGAGTGTGTTGCGACTTTGTGTTCCATACATTTTTCTGAAAGAGGTCTGAAACGATTCTCCAGTAGCCATCCTGCCCAAGAAAATAAAGTACTGGAAACATCCAGTAGCAATCTCGGAAAAAGTTGATTTGACAGAAACCAGAAATACCACTCTCACATAACATCTACAGTATGCCACTTCCTACAATAGCTAAAAATATTTCAAGTTTGTTCCAGAGCTAATTTCACTGTAAAAGCTTTTAAAAATGGACATTTTATCACCATTTCTACATTTGTCACGTGTATTAACACTCAGTTGAACACACTGCATGATCGAGTTTGTGGACCAGCCACTGGTCATTTGGTTACTAAGCAAATCAAATTTGTAAGAAAGAAACCCGCTGTTCAAAATGCCAAGTTATTCTCTGAAGGAAACATGCTCTGCATAGCAGAACGTGTGCAAATGATCTATTTGCAAGGTAACATTTTACTTCGAAATGAGTTGTCTAGTTAAGCCACCAACCACACCAACATAAAATTTTTTCTTCAATAATTTAGGGTTTCTTTTTTTCACCCCAGTATTCCTGATTAAAGAAATCAGACCATGAGTCATTGTTCCCACAAAGTCTCTGGCTGCCAAACATATGTAGACCTGGTAGTTAAGCATTTTAATGTGCCCTCAACTATATAATTTTTATAATCTTTATGCAATTGTTGCTGCAAAATGTGTCATTTGTATTGGCATCAATTTCTGACCTTCACTACAGAAAGGCAGATGATGGGTGGTTGATGAATGGGGCAACTGGTTGAAACATCCCCTACTTATGGTAGAAGACCTCCTACTCCTACTGGCTTCAGAAGCTCAAAGAATTTTACTACGATGAATTTTTTATGAAAAAATGTCTTTATAACACAATTAGTTTTTCTCACTGTGATTCACAATTAATCTCCTTAGAGATAATATATTGTGATATATAAGCCAAGGGTCGGGAAGTGGACCCCTGAATCTTACAGAATAGAAATCTAAGGGAAAATGTTTCTTTATGGAATCCTCACTGGATCCAGAGATTAAAAAAGGAATGAAAACTAACAAACTAATCTGTAGCATCTGCAAAAAGACGGAGTGAGATTCATTCATTCCACTCTGACTCCTGCACACACTGATTCCATGGTAAAATGAATCCATTCTTTGAATTTGGGAATTAGTTCCCCCTAGAATGAAATATTTCTTTCCATTTAGTCCACATATACTGTACACAACTCATGAGGTTTCTTACATGTTGAGAAAATGATTCAGACTTTGGTACATGTTTTTTTGATCATGCATCTTCTGCTATCAGTAATCAGGGCTAAGTGCATGGTTGTTTACTCTATGTTGTTAAACAAGTGATTTTGAGTGTACAGAAAAACATGTTGATACATATGTTAAAGAAATAATTGTTTTCAGAAATAACAAAAAAAATTTCATGTGCATATCCATTGATATGCTAAAAAATTATCTGTGGACAATGCATCTCGGATTGTACTAAAACAATGCACTGAGAAACCAAAGGAGCAGGTTATGTCAACTGAAAGCTTGTCCTAGGTGTGAATGCTTTCATCAAATCTTTACCTTTACCTGAAATACCTGGTTTTCATAGCTCTGTTTCTCTGCGCAGTAAACTCCCAGTCAATACTCAAAACTTACTAAAATACCCACTTGATTGAAAAGCTTTGATTCATTTCTCCAAACAAAATTAAACACTCTCTTCTCTCTGTTTTTTACAGTGCATTGATATTCTTCTAATGTAGTAGTCATGCACCACTGAAATTACCTATGTGTCACAAGCAGAATTTCCCAAGAGCAGAGTCCCATCTCTCACTTTGCTCTTACAGCTGCAGTTGTGGGGGCCGCAGCCGCAACATTGCTAATGTCTTCGATGACTAACCATATAAATCCAGTTTTTCCTATGTGTCAGGAAGGGTGCTAGGTGTTTACCCATGCAGAGTCCTGTTGATTATTGACTTCTGTGGGGGTAATCACTATTTTCTTGTTCAATATAAAAAGGAGAAAATGGAACATTAGAAATCAGAGTTTGGCATCAATCCATCTCTTGTTTGAACAGAAACTCTTAACCACAGTACGCTACTGTCTTTTAGGCTCTTCATGAATATGTGTTAAATGAATGATGATAGAAGTAACTTGCTCATATTCATTGACTTGATGCAAACTTCGATGTCCTACTTAAAAATCATTTCTCTGTCAATTTTCCCTTCTCACCCAACCTCCATTTCTATTTCAGGCAATCCTAATTGTACCTTTTTCAACATTTCCAGAATACTTTTTTAAATGATGGTATAACACTTAGCACGTGGTATTACGATAATTGTCCTACACTGTGAGAATCTTGAAGGCTGGGAGAGTTTTTCTTCTCAGGTTCACCAGTGTACTAATAAATATTTGCTGAAATAATTGGAAAAATTAAGTAGTTGATTCAATCATTAAAGTGCATGGAAGTACAGCTTTAGTTGTCCCTGTTGATCTTGCTTATCTTCTCAACCAGTGGCTGTGCATCAGAAATATCTAGGGAGCTTTTATAAATTCAAGTGTCCAGCCTCCACTTATGAAATTCTGATCCCAGGAGTGAGGCCTTGAGATATCTACTAAAATACTTCTCTTGAAACTTCAGGCAAAATCAGGTTTAGTGACTGCTCTTTCTATCTATTGCCTTTAGAGCTTTCCTTACTCATTCGCTTTAACCACAAAAGCAAGGAAGTAGAAGATTCCTGAGAAAATTAACCCCCCTCATACAGAAACTCAACTGTTTTCTCTTTCATGTGCTACAATTTTCTCCTTAGGTGTTGAATATTGGTACCAGTGCTCTGTATAGCAGCAGGTGCATATGGACATTTAATAAGTATTTAAAATAAGCTGAGGAGAATTTAGTGTACTGGTTAGACAAAATAATGAGGAATAGCTCAAAGTTTGGAGACGCAAACTTCAGCATTGGCTCCCTTATCTGAATAACTTTAATAATCTGTAGGGACTTGCCACAATATTTAGAAAATAGAAGCAGTTGTGTTGTTTGGTTTCATTTTCTGATGAGGTCCATTTTCTCCACGTACTTATTGAATTTGTTTACTCTTGCCCCATAACAAATTACTGCAAGCTTAGCCCCTAACAACAACACAATTCATTTTCCCGTAGCATCTGTGTGGGTCAGCAGTCTGGGTACAAACTCCCCGGACCCTCTACTGGGGTCCTACAGGCAGTGATCACGCTGTCAGGCTGTGTTGCTCACCTGGGGCCCAGGTTCCCTTCTCCCAGCCCATTCAAGTTGTCAGGACAACTCTTTTGATGGTGCACCTGGGGTCCCTGTTTACTCACCAGCTGTCCACTGGAGTTCACTTCCAGCTGTTTGAGGCCACCCACAGAAGCTCCATGTGCCCCCAACAAGCTGTTCACGCCACACGATGATTTGCTTCCTCCCAGGCTGGTGGGAGCTCATGGTGCAGACTCTCATCCCCCACCCAGTCTGCCATGTATTTAATGTAACCTCTTCACCATTGCACATGCAAAGTGGCAGAATCAAGGGAGCCAATATTCAAATAGTTCATATGCAGAGGCTCTGCCCACACTCAAGGGAGAAAATACTCAGGACTTGCCCAGACAGTGTCAAAAATCACAGAAGCCACCACAGAACTTTGCCTACTACACTTACACAGGGAGCAGAGCACATTGTACCTCTCAGCCCTGTTCCTCTTGGATGGTCACTCGAATTTCATCTTCCCAAATGTCCCTCCCTTTATAATGTTACGAGTAAAAAATATTTGATTTCCTCAATGCCTTAGTTGTTGTTTTTATTTAGAAACTCCAACTACATGTTTATAGAGAGATTTGGAGATTTCACGTTCTATATTAGAGGCTGACAATCTTGGGCCAATCTAGAGCCAGTTTTTATCTGAAAGATGAGAATAAAAAGAAAGCAGCTATTTAAAGTTTCCTGTAAGCTTGTTTATCAACAAAAAAGGTATTATTCTTCATGGTAATAATTATAACATCCATCAAGGATTTTGATTTCTGTTTTCTGCAAAGAATGCACATAATATTAACAGTTTATATGACGATTCACCATTATTATTACATTTTACCAACATCTAAAGACTTTCTCACATTCAGCTTTGGCTCTCAGCTGTCTTTCAGAGATGCGCTGGGCTATCATCCTTCTGTATTCTGAAATGCTGGTGACTTTTCAGACTAAGGTTAGAACAGCTGTGTAGCCTAGGGTTAAACTTTATGGCCTGTCGTTTAAGCTGTGTAGGCTACTGGTTGAACTTGTGGCCTAGAGTTCCACTGTGTGGCCTAGTGGTTAACCTTGTTGCCTAGTGGTTAAGATGTGTGGACTAGCAGTTAAATGCGTGGGCACTGGGGGCCACTGTCACAGATGGGAATCCCAGTGATGACACTTAATCTTGAGCAAGTTTCTAGATCTCTCTGTCCTTTATGTGTGTAACATAATAGAACTTCTGACTGGGCGTGGTGACTCATACCTGTAATCCTAGCACTTTGGGAGACCGAGACAGGTGGATCATCTGAGGTCGGGAGTTTAAGACCAGGCTGGTAAACGTGGTGAAACCTCGTCTCTACTAAAAATACAAAAATTAGCCAAGCGTGGTGGCGCACACCTGTAATCCCAGCTACTCAGGAGGCTGAGGCAGGAGAACTGCTTGAACCTGGGAGGCGGAGGTTGCAGTGAGCCGAGGACGCACCACTGCACTCCAGCCTCGGTGACACAGCATGACTCCATCTCAAAATAATAATAATAATAGAACTTCTCTTTTTTGTTTACCATGAAAGCTTAATGCATCAATACCTGTAAAGTGTTTGAGTCAGCACCTACCACATTGCATCCGTGATGTGTTCACAGTGATTTTGAGCTCACATGCGTGTCCTCTTCACTTCTGTCTCAGTGTCTGCTGGCTGGCTCACTGCTTACCTGGCCAAGCCTTATAGCCTCCATTATTCAGAAAAGACTTTAACATTTTTGAATACAAGAATTCTCCTCTAAAAGCCAGCCTCATTTTGCCCCATAGTGCTACAATTTTGAGCACAGTGAATTAACTCTTTATTATTATTTATTAATTAATTTATTTTTTGAGACAGTCTCGCACTGTTGTCTGAACTGGAGTGCAATGGTGCAATCTCGGCTCACTGCAGCCTCCGCCTCCCAGGTTCAAGCAATTCTCCTGCCTCAGCCTCCCAAGTAGCTGGGATTACAGGTGCCCACCACCACACCTGGCTAATTTTTTGTATTTTTAGTAGAAACAGGGTTTCACTATGTTGGCCAGGCTAGTCTCAAACTCCTCACCTTGTGATCCGCCCACCTTGGCGTCCCAAAGTACTGGGATTAAAGGCGTGAGCCACCGTGCCGGGCCTATTATTATTTATTATCAGCTCTGTATTTAGAATTTTCGTAGTTATTCCTTGGAAGTCAGTTTCATTTCACTCTCTACCCAGCCCTCCATCTCTGAACTTAAATTTGTCTCTTCTTTATATCATCCCATCTAACAATCCAAATTTTGTGTTTCTCAAAGAAGATACTTCTAATATTTAATTTTTTATTTTTTTGAAACAGGGTCTTGCTCTGTAACCCATGCTGGAGTGCAGTGGCATGATCGCAGCCCTGCAGCCTCGATCTCCTGGCTCGAGCTATCTTCCCTCTTCAGCCTGCCGAGTAGCTGGGACTACAGGTGTGTGCCACCACACCTGGCTAATTTGCTTTTTAAACTTTCGGTAGAGAAGTGATCTTTCTATGTTGCCCATTTTGGAGTACATTTTATGATTTAGAAAAAGCAATAATAAAACTCTAGGCAATACATAATAGAAAAAAGGGAGAAAAAGCCTCTTTCCAATGACAGTGCTTGCTTGCTTTTACTCTGCATGCCTAACCACCACACTTATACATTTATTTTTTATGGTAATGTAATCGTATGATTTGTGCTTTCGTGAAGGCTGCTTTTTCGGTTAATTTTATGTTAGTGGACTTTTATGTCAAATATAAGTCTATACCGTCATTGCTGTTGAATAGCATTTTACTGTTCAGATCTAGTACAATTTAAAAATCCCTTTTTACTGGGTTGCTTTCAGTTTCTAACAGTTCACACACATGCACATACATACACACACAAGTTCATACTGCTCAAATGTAAGTACATGCATTATACGTGCCATATCTTAGCTTCCTCTACCTCTTAGATTATTTCCTGAAAATTAATACTAAGAAGGGAGAGTCCCGTCAATCTACATCATTAAAGTTTTCTGTGTGCTGTTACGTTTTTACTGAAGTATATCCATTCATGTTCCCATGGCAGTATTTCTGAAAGGCTGGTACCATCTCTCCAAGCTGACATTGGATATTGCTATTTAAACATATTTGAATTAAGCGGTGAGATTCTTTCTTCCCAAACAGGCCTCCTGCTTTATCACCTCCCTCTCACTCAACTACACTTACTAAAACCTGACAGGTTGCTAAAGAGCGTCACAGCTCTTGACACAGAAGGAAGTGAGAGACTGGAGGCACTTCGTCTTTTACAAGCTTTCCCTCTACTTTAGATTAAAATTAAACCAAACGGGAGAAAAAATAAAATGAACTGATCTAAGTTATCATCATATGCGAAGGAAAAGAAGATTAATATTACTCATTTCTGCACCTCCCTTAAAGTTTTGTATATAAAAGAGGTGAAAGCATTGAATTGAACGTTTTGCCATTTATAAACCCAAACGTATTGTATGCCATTCTTTATTATCTTTTTGCATGACATTTTTCCAGGGAAAATGTGTGTCACTCTTTTATTCCCACATCTCATTCTTGATTTACTTCCTCTGTGTTCGTTTTGGTTATTTTCAGTCTACTCCTTCAATAGCTATTTAAAGAATACATATGTTTTTAATGTGGTAAGTTAATACAGTTTTCTTTGGGGCAGAGTGTGAGTTTCATCTGCTTCCTTTTGCCTTTACACAAATCCTTTTATAAAGTTTGTCTCAAAAAGTAGATTCTTGAAGCGCTGCAAGCAGAATGGCCGACCAGGGAAGCTGCGAACTTCTTGTTCTACGCGATCACTGACAAGAGAAGCAGGACCACCTTTGTGGGGGCTCTGGAAACAAAGGTTCAGAGTAATCAAGCAAAAGCCCAAGGAAGAAAAACAATTCCTTGAAAGTGGTAGAAAGATTTACAGCATTTTTGTTTTCCCTAGACCCAACACCTTCTTGATGTGGCGGTCATCTTGTTGCTGATGGAGCAGGAGTAGTGGCCTCCTCCAGGTGCTCCCTTGAATCAGAGGGAGCAGAGCAGGCCTTATTTGCAATCATTATGTGCATTGGTTCTCATCTGTCTGAAGAGTACACTTGAAAGAATGATGCAAGGAGCTGATCTCTGTTTTCAACTCAAGTGGGAAATTGGTGGGCAAGACTCGATAAAGCATAAAAGCTCATAAAAGATAGAAAAGACTTTAAATCAAATAATGTATAAGAGATGAAGAAGGACATTATATATTAATAAAAGGTTCAATACACCAAAAGGATATAACAATTATGGACATTTGCTCACATAAAAACAGATACACATACAGAAAGAAAAATTGACAAAATTAAAGAGAGAGAGAGACAATTTTACAATAACGGTTCTAGACTTCAATCCCCCACTTTAAATAATGAATAGAACAACCAGACAGAAGATAAATAAAAAAAAAATAGAGGATTTGATCAACACACTAAGCCAAACACACACAGAACCCTCTGCCAAACAAGAGCAAAACACATTATTTGAAAATCCACGTGGAATATTCTCCAGGATGCATGATATAGTAGGCCACAAAAAATGTCTAAAAAATTTAAAAGGTTGATACAATACAAACTGTCTTTTCTGATCATAAGGGACTGAGATGATAAATTAATAGTGGAAGGAAAACTGGAAAATTCACAATTATATGGGAATTAACACACTCTTGATTGTAGTAATGGTATCATGGCTATATACCATGATATCGTTACATCCATCACCTCCAAAGGCTTTTTTTTGTTTTTATCTGCTTTTGTTTTGTCTTTTTTTAATGATTAAAATACTTAGCATGCAATCTATCCTCTTATATTTTAAAAAGCATAATGTCATATTGTTAACTGAAGGTGGTATTTCATATAACAACTCTCCATCACTTATTGATCTTGCTAACTGAAATTTTGTATCCTTTGACCAAGACCTCACCATTTTCCTCACCCTAGCCCCTGGAAACCACCTTTCCACTTTCTATTTCTTTGAGTTTGACTACATTACATATATTACATATCACATATAAGTGGAATCATGCAGTATTTGTCCTTCTGTGCCTAGCCTATTTAATTAACCGTAATGTCTTCTGGTTTTCATCCATGTTGTTGTAAGTGAAAGGATTTTCTTCTTTTTAGGCTGAATAATATTGCATTGTTTGCATAAACTACATTTTGCTTTTCCATTCATTCATCAGTGAACAATCAGGTAATTTCTATATCTGGACTCTTGTGAATATTGCTGCAATAAACATGGAAGTGCAGATAGCACAAGATCCTGACTTCAATTCTTCTGGATATATACCCCTATGCAGGATTGCCGAATCATATGGTAGATTATTTTTAGTTTTTTTGAGGAACCTCTGTACTGTTTCCCATAGTGGCTGCACAATTCTATGTTCCCACCAACAGTGTATAAGAGTTCCGATTTTTCCATATTCTTGCCAAAACTTATTATCTTTTCTTTTTAACTAATAGTCATTCTAACAGATGTAAGGTAATATCCCTTCATGTTTCTTACGGTTTAGTTGCATTTCTACACCCAGCAAGGAGGCTTGGGAAGTGAGATTCCCTGCAACTCACAGGAGCTCCCGCAAAGGTGAGATACAGTAAAAGAACTGTGCGGCCTTCTCACATTGTTAGGGCAGGGACTGCAGGCAAAAATTGAGCTTTGTTTCTCTTTTTTATACTTATTATTATTTTAGAATAATTTCTGGGAAAAGGAGAAAAAATGTTCTTAATTCAGCTGTTTTATACTAGAAAACTCTACATGTTTTTCTTGTTATTCTTGTTTTTGTTCTTCTTATGGCATGTTTTCTAACCTAATTTTTTTAAAGTTTATTGTAAGGTATATTTTTACATTTATAAAAATAAAATTTATGAGCACCGCATTTAGGAATATAAATTAGTATATAATATTACAAAATCTTCAGTAAAAACTCAATTAGCAACACTAATCTGACTCTTTGGAGTAAGCGAAATGTTTTTAATACAAAGTAAAAGTTTGGTGTAAATTTCTATCAAGTTGAGAGATATTTATATTTACCTCTATTTCTTGCCAATGTTTGAAAAAGAGCCTTTAATGGGAAATTGAGAAAGTAAGAAGTATCACTGAATTATCTCAAATACTAACTAGTAATAGATCTGGAGGAAAGAAAAAGAAATTGAATAAAAGAAAATAATAACTTTTTGCTCTCATTACTTCATGTTTTACCTTTAGTTCTTTACATTTGTAAGCCCTTTTTTCTGTTTTCTTCATGTCTAATTAATTGAGCAGTTCATTCATATTACTTTTTCTCCTAACACTTTGGTGTTAGGCCTTATGCTCACTTCTTTAAGATTTCCTCATTAAGCATCTTTGTTACCGCCTTTCTGCCTTAGCTTAGTTCTCCTAGAAGACAAATCCTGAGGCAAAATTTTATGTGCTAACATTTCATTGAAGGATGTAATCCTAGGGAAGCAGGAAGTGAGAGCAAGGTGGGAATGAGACAGGAAGAAGAAAGAAGAGCCAATGTAAGGCGTGCAGCATGACGTTCTGCAGCTTGCAAAACAGGCAGATGTTACTGGGCCTTGCTGGACATTTGCAGAGAAAACCTGTGCATTGCATTACTGCACATCAAAAAGTCTGTCTTTAGGGAGGAAGAGATTTGTATTTTTCTGCCAGCATCCATATACGATAGTTTGTGTGCATCTTTACACACTTCCAATCTGCAGTACTTAACCGATCTGGGAGCCACCAAACGAAGCCAGATTCTAGAGTCCAGCAGCTGCATGCCTTGGGTCTCTTAAGGCTGGTGCCCAGAGTTAGTTACATGTGCTGGGGGAGCAGTTGGAGCTCAGCTCCTAAGGAGGCAGATTCTGTGCAGGCAGTGCTGCCATGAGCATTGTGGGAGACCAGGGGCCAGGCAGCAGTAGGCTTGACTGGCTGAGCAAACAGAGGACCACAGGTCCATGGCCTCTGTCTCATGAGGTGACACTGCTCAATGATCCTCCTTCCAACTAAGACCAACAGCTCCTCTCTGAGGTGTTGTAATTAATCATGAACATCATGTTTAATGTTAGCTGACCTTCCTGGAAGAAATCAATAACGTCAGGCAGAAAACCATGGCTGGACAGAGCTAAGAAAATATATAAAATGGATCTTACATGTTTCTGTTCAATGTCTTTGTTTTAAATTCTCTTATTTAATATTTCCTAAAATAACTTGTTTCCTCTCTCACTTTTACTATTGTACATGTTTTACTAATTAATCTTTTTTTCTTTTCTGAATCTTGAGTTAATAAATAAGGGAGCATTAAAAATACTCTACTGCAAAATGTGCAAAATGTGCAAAAATAGTCTACTGCAAAATGTGCAAAAGGTACCACATTTTCTTTATTCAGCCTATCATTGATGGGCATTTAGGTTGTTTCTATGCCTTTGCTATTGTGACAACTACTGCAATGAACATACACGTGCATGTGTCTTTAAAATAGAATGATTTATATTCCTGAATACTATGCAGCCATAAAAAAGAACAAAAACATTTTCTTTGCAGGGACATGGAAGGAGGTGGGGGCCATTATCCTTGGCAAACCAACACAGAAACAGAAAACCAAATACCACATGTTCTCACTTATAAGTGGGAGCTAAATGATAAGAACACATGGACACATAGAGGGAAACAACACACTCTGGGACCTTTTGAAGGGTGGGAGAAGGGGGAAGATCAGGAAAAATAACTAATGGGTACTAGGCTTAATAGCAGGGTGATGAAATAATCTGTACAACAAACCCCCATGATACAAGCTTACCTATGTAACAAACCTGCACTTGTACCCCTGAACCTAAAATAAAAGTTAAGTAAGTACCCTACTCTTGCTATCTCCCTTATAACCAGTGGTATTTAAGACCATGATCCACAGCCTGGCCAACATGGTGAAAGCCCGTCTCTACTAAAAGATACAAAACATTAGCTGGTCGTGGTGGCATGGACCTGTAGTCTTGGATGCTCGGGAGAATGAGGGAGTAGAATCACTTGAACCTGGGAGGCAGAGGTTGCAGTGAGCCGAGATTGCGCCAGTACACTCCAGCCTGGGCAATAGAGTGAGACTTTATCTCAAAAAACAAAACAAAACAGAACAAAAAACAAACAAACAAAAAATGATGCAACACGTTAAGCAGCATAGGCAACACAAAATTAAAATGCCTTGCCATAGGTTGCAGGTGGCAAAGAAAATCCCTGCCTAAAATACAAGGCACTTGTTTACTTTTACCCATCATAATTCTTTGCTGGATTTTATTCAGTGTTGCTGGCATTAAAGTTTTGATGCAACGAGTGTGCTTAACTTAGGGAGTACTGTGTTTGAATAGTGATGAAATTGTGATCTAAGTAAATTACCAAAGTCCCCAGCTAAATGACTAATTTCGAAAGTCGAACTCTGTTGTCTATAGAAGTCATTTCTAGGAAGAAACAGATTCATCTATAAAGTTATTTATTGAAATTGTTCTCAATTGTTTTTCAGCTTATGCGAGATTGCAGCGTTGCTAAGCCAGGCTAAATTGCCCGGAGTCAGTTTAGAAAATTATCTCTCCCCTTGTTTCCTATGGGCATCTCCACACGGACCCTTGGGTTTGAGGAGAGTATAAATAATGGAGAGCACAGAATTGAGACAGTAAAGGAGACTGAAAGGAAACAAAAGAACCAATTTGAGGAGAGCCAGGGATAAGCTCTATCTAGCTGAAGATGGGGTCTGCAGTTACGGAGAGTGGAAGAACATGAGATTGATTTTCTCCTGAGTGCAAAGTGAGAAGCTGAGGACACTGAAGACCAATAATTCCACTGTCCTTTCAGGTTTCATGCCAAACCCCTTAAATGACAATTGTATATCAAATGCCCTCTGACTTTTTTGATCTCTCTATAAATTGCAACTCATATCTTCCTTTGCGTTTTTCGTTCTATCAAAATTGTCTCAAACCACCCACTACTAGCTAATGGCCCAAACATAAGCTCTAGTTCCTTACACTTCAACATCATTATTAAGCCTTTGATGTATCATTTAAGTGAAAAAAAAAAGTTCTGGTTTAATTCTATTATGTCTGAAGTCCCAGGCATCAAAGTGTTCAGGAAATAATAAAATGGTTATAGGCTTAATCGTATTATCTTATATGATGAATTCACTGAAATAAAACTACATCAACAATAATGCTATCTATTTAATCAAGTTCATCACATTCAGCTCTACAATTTACTTAAGCTGCTTTACTGTAGCATTCAATATAAGAGGCATTCCCAAGACTCTGGGTGGATTTAAAATTTAAAAAAGATATATTTAGAAAAAGATATATTGATATTGCAATAATCAAATTGTATCCCTATTTATGAAATAAGAAATTTTCCCATGAGGGATAATACAGGCTCTATGTTACCTCCCGAAAGCATAGAAATATGCTTAAAAGGATATCATAGAAATCACATTTTCTTCCACAAACTCAAATTCTGGATTACCACTCTCTATTTGTTCTAACAAAAGGAGCAAAGGTACCAGACACACAGTAAAGACACCTTGTACTGGTCATAGTTAAGCTGTGGAGAACAGATTTCCCTCCAGCTAGTTTAAATAGAAAGACATAAATTATAGTTATCCCTTGGTTTGGGTGGGATGATGCGTTTTTCCAAGTGTACCACAATTCGTGCATGCTCAAGTCCTGTAGCTGGCTCTCTGGAACTCATGTATATGCAAAGTTGGCCCTCTGTATATGTGGGTTTTGCATGTCATGAATACTGTATTTTCCATTTTCACTTGGTTAAAATAAAAATCTGGGTATAAGTGGACCTGCACGGTTCAAACCCATGTTGTTCAAGTGTCCGTTCTGTAAGATATTAAATGGCACGCAGAAGTGTGGGGGTGTGATGAAGGAACAGATGGGCTGAGTTTCCAGAAACAACTTCAAAAGTCTCAGCATAGATCTGGGTTTCCAGGTGAGCTCCAGACTCTCCGCTGACAGAGCGTCTGCTAAGGTGGGGAGCCGGCATACCGCTCCCAGCTCCAGGACCACACGTTTGTCTTGAAGGTCACAACATCACATAACCCAGGTATGAATGAAGAGTGGAAGGAAAGCATGCAGTCTCTAATGAGGTCTGAGAATATAGGTTTTTTTCTCTCCACCCTTTGCTTAAAAGAAAGAAACGGGAGTGTGGATGTGAGGTCATGGAGCATCCACCACAGTCCTGTGGCTGTTTAACAACCAGAAATGTTTTTCTTACTCATCCTGAAGGAAATACAGCACTATCTCACTCTTCCCTAAAAATTAAAAGTTAATATTATTAATAAGAAGAGACTCATTCTCACAAAGAAAAGAGCCCAGATCCCGTCAATCCCTGTGTCAGTCTCAGCAGTATCCTTTGTCTTCTGTTTCTGCCTGGCTGTTATGAAATCTATGCAGCTAACCACTAACAACATTTATCATATCCTGTTATATAGAAAAGTGAGAAGAAAACAATAAATTTTTATTTTCCACAATTATTTGAGGCCATTGTTGTTATTTATAACTTTATTCACTGTTTATTCTGTATTCTTTTTCCCATAAGCAAATGGATAATTCACTTGGATGAATTCTTTACATGAATGATTCAAAACTTCATTCTTACATCCTCAACCCAAGGCAATACTGGTTGTATTGTGTTGCTGTCATTATCCATTAATTTTCAATATTGGATTTCATACCCAAGAGGATAGCCTGTGTTACAGATAGAACTGTGTTTCCCAAAAGATATGTTGAAGTTCTTAAACACACCCTGGGCTTGTGAATGTGAAATTCACATTCACAGTATGTGGAAATAGGGTATTTGCAGATGAAATCTGTAACGATGAGGTTACACTGGATTAAGGTGTGAACTTGTCCAGTGGCTAGTGTCCTTATAAGAAGAAAAGCAGAACAATGTCAGCAGGAAGTTGCAATGGAAGACCTCATCATTATTCCTCCCAACAAAAGTACAACTAGCAACTACCAAAAGACAAGACTGTCACGCTGAATTCACCAGAACATGCAGAAGAAGCAAAAAAAAAAATCCTGGTTCTGGAGAAATTGGAAAAGCCATAACCAGTAAGAAGAATGGTCATTTTAGATCATGCCACTTCCTCCTCCAAGCTGGCCACATCCCTAGATCCATGGCCTCTGAGGTGGAAGGAGGGAATGGGAAGTGCACTTTTGATCTGCCCACCCTTGTCTGGGAAACTTCACAGAAAGCGTGTTCTGGTCCCATTCCATGGGAGCCTCAGTAAGGCCTAAACCACTGGGTGGGAAGACCTGGAGACGAGAGTGGGTGGTACAATCACAGCAGATGGCATGCAGATCGGGGCAGCTGCCCTGCTCATGATTACCATGGGAGCCATGCTGAGGAGACTGGCCAGCTCCACAGAGGAGCAGGGGATGAGCCCTGGGAAACTGCGAATCCCTGCCCAGATTTCCCACACAGCTCATCCTGTTTGGAGCCCTCCCCTCACCCAGAAACAACTAAGAGGTCAGCAATTAAGTTCCAGTGCTCACTTAAGTGTTTGCCAGGTGAGGAAATCACTGCATGTGTGCTGTTAAGTTCCAGTGCGGCATTTAAGTTCTGGTATTTACAATAAGCCTTCTCCAGACTGGGAAACAATCCAAGATCCAAGAAAATCAGAGAACACCAATGAGGATAAATACCAAAAATTCTACCTAGGCATAACATGTTCAAAGTGCAGAAAATCAAAGACAAACAGAAAATCTTCAAAGAAGTTAGGGAAAGA
The DNA here is from genome assembly GCF_000001405.40 of Homo sapiens. Classification (NCBI taxonomy): domain Eukaryota; kingdom Metazoa; phylum Chordata; class Mammalia; order Primates; family Hominidae; genus Homo; species Homo sapiens. The sequence goes on from NC_000008.11 coordinate 5,263,821, forward strand.
AAAGACACCTTACGTACAGAGGAATGAGAATAAAAATTTCATGGGACCACGCTTTAGAGACCATGCAAGCAAGAAGAGAGTGGAAGAAAATAATTAAAGTATTAAAAGGAAAACACGGAAACAACAATTTAGAATTCTGTATCCTGTGATATTACAAGATGAGGAAACTTACAACTCTAATAATACAAATCAAATAAGATCTAAGGACACTACATGTTGATGGATAGGAAGGCTCAATATTTTTATTTGTCCATTTGTTTCAATATAATCTATAGATTCCATTTAATCTCAATCAGCATCCCTGCAAGTTATTTTGTGGATAGGGACAAACTGATTCTAACCTGTATATGGAAAGGCAAAAGATCCAAGATAGCCAACACGTCATATAAAAAAAGCAAGAAGACGAGAAGAAGAAAAGGCACCGCTCAAAGGCAACACTTTCTGTAAAACTGCAGTAATCAAGGAAGTGTGGTATTGAGGAAAGCATAGACAAATAGATTAGTGAGACTCACATAGAGCCCCGATATAGATACAGAGCAGGTCAGTACAGTCAACTGATCTTTGACAAAGGAGAAAAATCAATACAATGGCAGAAATATAGCATTTTCAACAACTGATGCTGGAACAACTGGACATCTATGTACAAAAAGAAAAGAATCTAGACTCAGCCACTATATCTGTCATAAAAGTAACTTAAATGAATCTTAGGCGTAATGTAAAATGCAAAGCTGTAACATTTCTAGAAGATAAAATAGGAGAAAATCTAGATGGTGTTACATTTGACATTGTCTTTTAAGATGTGATACCAAAATCGCAATCCATTAATAAGTTGGACTTCATTAAAATGAAAAACTTCTCTGTTAAAGGTATTGTTAAGAAAAACAGCAAGACAAGTCATAGGCTTTGTATTGCTCAGTGTTCTCCAGAGAGACAGAACCAATATGTGTGTGTGTGTGTGTGTGTGTGTATACACACACACATATGTATATATGGGATGTATATATGTATCATATATATGTATATATATGATATATATACATGAATGTGCTACCTTTACAAGAACAGATGGACATAGTATCTGGTTCTCTGTGGCTATTGAGTTGGCAAATGCATTCTTTCAATCCCCATAAGCAGGAAGATCAAAAGCAGCTCAAAGTTACTTGATATATATGTGTATGCACCTGATATATATGTGTATTGCCAAGTCAATAGCCACATTCAGAGAACCAGAGACTATGTTCTTCTGTTCTTGTAAAGGTAGCACGTTTGGCACAGTAGCTGTGATTTCACCTGCCACTTGGCATATTTATGGTTGTTTACATTCATCTATCAAAAATCAGCTGAATTTTGCAAATACTGCACTGGTACATGCCACTAGGAACCATATTAACCTTGGATTTTTTAAGCCTTTAAGTATGATGTTAATCTCTGGTATTCCACATAAAATATGATATTGCTGCCAATTAATTATCTTGGCTAAGAAGAGGAGTTGTAGGGGTTTCATTGTGGCTTTTACTGCCAAAAAGACACTTATTTAACATGGCAGGGACCCAATGTAAAGGTTCTTCTGATTGATAACTACATCTGCCCCAAGTTTACATTCAGAGGCCAAGGTGATGTCTATAGGATGGGCTAAAATACCAGCTGGGCCCATTGTGAGATAAACTCAAGTCAGAATTTTATTTATGTCTAGTTCATGTAGCCCCACATTAATTGGGGTTATGATGAAGTTTTCGGTCCTCTGTTGTCAATATCAGTTCAGATCGTTTATTAAATGCTCTCAACAGAGTTGGATAGATTCTATCTCCTCACTGAACAATTACTTTAACAAATGATCATCGGCTCATTTGGGGAAAGACTGGAGTTACAGTACTTTCTATTCTTGCTGTGCCATTTCAGGATCTATAGGGCCAAGCCTCTCCTTCAATGGACTGGTTCCAGGTCATAGAACTAGCTCAGTTCCTGAAAGTGGATAAAATATTGGTGCTTTCTATTATAATGGCTGGCATCAGCATTCTATGTAGCAGATTTTGATGATTGTTTGCTTGTATACCTTAAACTATATTCTTGTTGACTGCCTACCCTGTTTTTCTTCTAGTGGCACCTCAATCAGTCATCACCAGCAATAAGAAAGGTAAAGAGGAGGGTTAGGATTCTTGAAAAGACAAATACATCTTTTAAGACATTCTGTCCAGGTGAGACGTTTAAATAATCTACAGGAAATTGAAACCTGCTTTACTCTTGTAAATGGAAGGGAACCACTTCCATCAGTATGGAGTGTGGGGACATCTAGGAACTTAAACTTCAAAAGGAAACATATTCATCACAATGCCCCAATCCCAAATCTCAAGGCCCCACAACTTTCCTATCTGGGCCCTGACTTTAGCTCAGTACCGTGACAGTGTTGTTAAGTCCACCTTGTTCATAAGTCTGCCACCTTTAAAGTGAAATCTTCACTCAATCTGACCTCTGGTTGCCAAGGCACTAACAGAGAAATTGTTTGACTTTCACAGTATTCCTTAAGTTGAAAGTTGGCTGATCTAAAACAAGTATGCTTTTCAATCGGTATTTCTATGGCCACTAACAACAATTATCTTCTGTATAGTAACGTTTCTCAATCTGTGTAGTAACTCTTACTCCCATATTTCAAATGTCAATGCTGTTGCATAAATCAACACATCATCTTACACATCTACCATTTATCAATTATCTCACATAGATGATCATCTTAATAATTGTGATGCTTTATCATGCTAGGGTTATCATCAATACATTTATCACAAGCAACAAGCTCTGTGTTGCTCTAGGATTCTGAAGAATTGATAGAGGAATGGGAAAATTTTACAGAAATAAGAAAGTCGCTAACACAGGTTAGGCTTTTGCCATCCTGCTGTGGATCACTGGACACTGCAAAACATCACTTAGAGTCATCCCAGAAGAGATGTGAAAACAAGGGTGTGTATAAACCGACTTCTGCCCATTATTCTTTGAAAGCTTCCCTAGGTGAAAATAATTCTCGCTGCTTCCAACCTGATGGCAATTAAGAATTCTTCAACTAGAGAATAACCTCAGGCATAAACTTTTTGGTGCTTGCAATAGAAAAGCATCAGCATGATTAGAAATTGTGTGTGGAGATGACCTGCCCGGTTACTGACAACGTCTGCTACAGGGTACAAGATCAGTGACTGATGTTTCATTTCAGACTGGATTGCTTCACGTGCACAATAAAAATAAATTCCCAGAAATTTTTACTGAAGATGTAGGCAGGTTATCTTTCAACCTATAGTGCACATTTGGCTTTTTAAGGAATCCAAGATACCTTTTATTTGTCATTTACCAGATACTTGAGGCCATCAATGTTGTGGACCAGGATGAATCTTTTGAGAAATTCACAATATTAAGATCCCTAGGTATTGAATGTGGACATAGATCTGGAGTGTTGACATATATCTAAAACAAACAAGAGAACGTATACTACTGGCCCAGCCAGGTGAAATAAATCTACTTCCTGGATTTCATGCATATTTGGATAGAGGAAAAAAAAAGCACCTGTTCCATCCATAGCCATGTATCAGAGGTCAAGGCTTCTGTTAACTTACTCCTGTGGGGAGAAAACCGAACATATTTAAAAGAGCACCTGTAGTACACATCACCAGTGGATTAACTTTATAATAATGATTTCTCATTATTAAAGACTATTTTTTAAGAAAAAGGCAAACATGAATTAATGGAAATGTAATAGGATTCATCACCCTTGCATCTTTAAGTTCTTTGATGAGGCACTAATCCTTGAAAATCCCCCAGAGATGTGACAATTCTTTGAACGTAGCTATTTTTAAAAGGAGCTACAGTCTGGGGATTTCTTCTTCCTCATACATTTGCTAATAGTTCTCACTCAGGTTTCATGTAGCTAATGCCAGAACCTGCCACTGAAAAAAAAAAGTCTCTTTCAACTATACCTCAAGGAACTTGAAAATTAATTGCAATATGAAATTTAGGTTTGTGAATCTTCTTGATCTACTGTTAGATGGACCCATGCCAAATTTTACTTTTTGAAACTAATCTCCACAAGGCCATACGTTAAGCAAATGGTCACAATTTTATACTAGATTCTCAGAAATTAGTATTAGCTCTGAGCCAGTGCTGATAATCTTTAAAAGGATTGCATATTAACGTTTCTTCAGGTCATTGATTATTTTTATAAATAGCTTCAGTTACCCTTAGAGAAGATTTGGAAGACAACTTACCACAGAAATGTGTGGTAATAAACAAGATTATTCAAATATTTCAAGGTTTCCGTTCACTCAGAAGTCTCAGGAACTGTCAAACATCTCAGTTCTTGGATATAGGTCAGCATTGAAGAGCTATGATTCTCCATCATGGTGTTTTCAATCAGGACTTCCTTCATTACACCTGGACGTTTACGTTTCCCCATTATACAGTTCACGTATCTTCTTAGTGATCTGCTATGTACTTCAGATGTAGAGACTCCATGATAAACCAGCCACCAACAAACACCCTCCACAGTCATCTCCTGTTCTGTTAGGATAACGACACTAATGGTTCACACTACCACCTTGTCTCTATTACTCTGGAATTTCATCATCTTCAGTATTATAATAGAAGAATCTCTCATCTAATTACTGTGAGAAGACATTTCATATAGAATCGTCGTTATTTTTAACAGTTTTTAGTGATGTGTTTCTCAGTACCTTGATGAAGGGCATGTTCTGTTTCCTCTAAAGGTATATAGTTCAGAAGTTGGTAAACAGGTAACGCATGATAAATGAAATCTTATATATCACTAAGCATATGCACTTGTTCTTCTGCATATGAAGACATCTCTGTCATCTCAAACTCATTAAGGCATGTTGAACTGATCATATAAATAGCAGCACTGTTCTCATTTGGTCAAAGTAAAATGTTAAATTTAGGATCTTGGTCAATTGCGCAATGCTAGTAACTTAAGCCATGTCTAAAATTATGTTTCTCCTTCTTTTGCGTGTGCAGCCATAATCCATTCTTATATATATTCCATAAATGTCTATGAAAAGACATTAGCAAAGACTTGAAATTTGTTGATGCACATTCTTTTTTATTCCAGGTTAGATTTTCTCTTTGCCCCCACTGTGAATGCTGGGATCTATCTCTAGTTATAAATTTAAAGAAAATGAGAGTAGCAGAGGAATCATTGCAAGCAATGAACATAAATTGTGTGAGGTGACCACATTCTTCATTTAGAGATGATGTAGGAATTACTTTCTAGTTGGAACCTGACAAGGGGACTCAACGCTGTTTTAACAATTTCTACAGCTGATTCTGATACATGCTGTTTGAAAACTACTTCTTGAAAGCCCTGAGCCTCAAATGCGGTCTCACATTGGATTCAACTAGGCAGTTAAAAAAAATACTCATAGATCTCAGCCCCAGAGTTTTAAATGTAATTGATAGTGAGACTGACCTGATCTGGACATCAAGAGTTTGAATGGCTTTCTGGGCGATTTCAACTTGCAAAAAAATGTGAAAACCTCTGCTATGGAGTTCAGTGGGGCTGTTTGTTTGTTGGTTACTCATTTTTTTTCACTTCTTTGCTGATAGGAGTAAAAAATAATGAAATATCTCAAATAAAGGAGAATTTTTTATAGCACCTATACAATGAAACAAAGACAAATCAAACACCTTGAGCTTCTACTGGACAAAAATAGCATTAGAACAGTTTCTAATGGATACTGACTGTGGAGGAGATTTCAGAGAAGGACACAGTTCTAGGAAGCACAGCTGCAGTACTGCGTAGATGTTTTTCTTATGCCATGATTAATTCATTTTTGCCGTTCCCCCTGGCTGTGTTCCATTCTCCCTTATTCTGAGTTATCTTCCTTACTGTCTACCTTTTATATGTTTTCTTTGCCTCACAGTTTATTTCTACGATTCATCATATCAGCGATTTACTATGGCTCCCTCTCTGTTTTAGTTTCTGAACTTAACCGTCCTATTTGATTTCTGTTTCTCTCTTCAAACTCCCACATGACGGGATCCATCCGATTAGGCTAGTTTGTCGTTTCGTACAAGATCAATCATTGGTCACTGATATTTCTGTATATTAACTGTCCTTGCATCAGATTCATACCCTTCTTCTTGGTGTGTTTTGTGGAGGACTAGAATGTATGATTTAAAATATGGCTGATATGGTTTAGCTTTGCGTCCCCATCCAAATCTCATCTTGCCCCAGGCATTAAGGGAGGAACCTGGTGGAAATGATTGGACTATGGGGGCGGTTTCCCTCATGCTGTTCTCATGAGAGTGAGTGAATTCTCACAAGATCTGATGGTTTTATAAATGGTAGTTTTTCCTGCTCTCTCACACGCTCACTCTGGCCTGCTGCCACACCTTAAGTGTGTCTGCTTCCCCTTCCTCCATGAATGTGTTTCCTGAGGCCTCTCCAGCCATACAGAACTGTGATTCCATTACAACTCTTTTCTTTATAAATTACCCAGTCTCAAGCAGTTCTTTATAATAGTATGAAAATGGACTGATCCAATCACCAACTAGAGATGTCCCTTTAGATGGGATCTAAATGAAACTTCTTCACATAGGATGATGAGAATGGCAGATCCCTGACCAGTAAATACATCTAGTACGAAGCAGCCTTTTCTCCTCTATTCCTTATTTACTATGAAAATTACAAAGGTGGTTACAATGAAGAGCCTATGATCAAGCCTGGCACCAAGGTATATGCCTGTAGACCCAGCTAATGGGGAGACTGAGGTGGAGAATCTTTTGAGCCTGGAAGTTTCAGTCCAGCCTATGCAATATAGGGAGAGCTTATCTCTAAAAATAAAATTAAACAGTTTTTTTTTTAAATAAAGAATAAGTGTGAGATACTTCAAAGAAGGGTCTAACTTATGTGAGATTTGTCTATACACTATAATTTTGAATGAAGACTCAATAATGACTCCAACATTTCTGTCCTAAAAAAACTAAAATGGGCCAGGTGTGGCAACTCATGCCTGTAATTTCAGCACTGTGGGAGACTGCAGCGGGTAGATCACCTAAGGTCAGGAGTTCAAGACCAGCCTGGCCAACAGGGAGAAACCCCGTCTCTACTAAAAATACAAAATTAGTGAGGCATCTTGTTGGACCCCTACAAGCTACTTGTTGGACTCCTAGCTACTCAGCAGGCTGAAGCAGGAGAATTGCTTGAACCTAGGAGGTGAAGTTTGCAGAGAGCCGAGATCACGCCACTGTGCTCCAGCCTGGGAAACAGAGCAAGACTCCATCTCAAAAACAAACAAACAAACAACAACAACAACAACAACTAAAAACCCATTGAAATGTGCCCTCTAAGTATTTGGAAATAGAGAACATTAAATGACAGAACATAACATACCTCTAGAGAGATATATGACATTTAGGGAAGGACTCTATTATAGATACTAATTTAACTCATTCAGCATTTATTAAAGGTTTGCTATGTGTAAGAACTTCAGCAGTCGTGTAAGATTATAGCAAGCCTCCTCAGAGTTCATGCTGAAATAGTAGAATATTTGAATATCTGCACAGTTTAACACATAAAAGAATATGACAGATTCTATGACAGAAATATACATAAGTGAGGCAGTATTGAAAACTAAAAACAACATATTTCTGTTTAGAAAATTGGGGAAAAACTCAGAAAGCTTTTGGTTTAGACTGCAAGATGAATAAGACTACAATGGAAAGAGAGAGAAGTAATTTAGGTGGACATGACAATATGAGCAAAGTCAAGAGATAGGATACCCATGGAATTTTCTGGGTAGAATAAAAACTTTAACTAGGCTAGAAAAAGTGTATTACGGAACGGATAGGAATGCAAATAGGAAAATCATGCTCGGACTATAGTACACAGCTTTCACTGACATGAAGAATAATTTATTATGTAAACAAAATAAGGAAGCATGAAAAGATTCTTGGCAGGATGGGATATAATCAGAAGTGCCTTTAGAATGTCGAGACACTGTGTGGGAGAGTTTGAATGAGGAAGCAGTGAAGCCAGGTAGGAAGATGAGCTAGAAATGATGGCACCATTTATATGGAAATAGGAAACTTTAATGCCTGTGCACATCATCAGGGTTGGATAATACGGCCTGGAGAGTTTCTGTTCAGGATTGATAGTTTAAAAATTGGACAGTTCAGGAAGGAAGGCAACACAGAAAGAAGATTAAAACTATTATACAGACAGAATCATGAAATCCAGCTCCTAAGTAGGGATGCAGTTTTTTTTTTTTCTCTTAAAATATTTAAAACTCCATCTCTACTGGTCATCCAGCATTACTTATATTGAGGATGCAGATTCCAGGGCTTTTTATAAACAGAGGAAGAATCAGTGCTCATATCTGAAAATAGGATTGATGACTTTCATTACAGTAATTCAGAGCAAGCCTCAAGGAACCAGACATACACTCTCAACGGCTGCAAGAACTCTCCCTCAGCTATTCCAGCACTTCATGCCATCGGCAGCTTCCAGCTACTCAATTTTGTTTGGTCAATAATTGAGAACAGCAGACAATCATTATTAGCAAATAAGTTGATGTCCAAAACTTGTATTTGCTCATCTTTTCAAATCATTTTTTTCCTAACTATGCATTATTTAACAGAAGCAACTGAGTCCCACTTGGACAAATTTCCGACATTATTTATCAAGAAGTTTTGGCTTTCAATATCACAGATGTATCCTGCACCATATAAACAGTGCTTCAGAATACAAATGTATTATATCAAATGTTCCCCGCTAAGTAAGCCTCAGGAGCTGCAACGCACCATGCGAAGCTGATGACATCCTTCTTCCTCCCCAACTTGTGTTTTACGTGTTCTCCACCTAATTTCTGATTGGGCAGCACAAACATCTAACAAATCCAATTCACAAATCTGGAAGCATTGCTGATTTCTCTTTATGCTTAAGTTACTGCACCCAATCAGGTAAGTCCTATACATTTTATTTTTCTAAATTAAAAAAAAAACCCTCTTACACCATTTCCCATACATTTGCATTTCCATTACTTATTTCAGATTTTTATTTCTCATTAAGTAAATTATCTCCTGGAGTTCAAAATTGTATCAACTTTACCTTATATTTTCTCCTGACAAAATAATAATTAAAAAATATAAAATAAATTATGTTGCATCCTAGCAAATAATAATATAAAAGAATAATTCGTTTTTGATATATGGTAAAGGGCAGCAATCAAATTGCATGCAGTCATTTTCTGCATTTTTTTTGGCTTCACTTATTATTTATACAGCTCCACTATTCTGATTATACAAAAGTAATTTCACTTCTTGAGTAAACACTGCTCTTTCAGATCTATTCTTTTCACATATTATATACGATTTTCTGTAAACAATTAAAACATATATACATAATAGCATTATCAGTATTAATAGTATTTATTGTTAGATGATTATAAATTCATATGTGTTTTCTATTTGGGTTGTTTATTTTTCTGTTAAGTTTTCAGAAGAACTTAATAGTTCTTTGCCAGATATGTGCTTTCATACTCCAAATATTGTATTTTCATTCCATTACCATGGCAAAACTTTTGAATTTTAATGAAATTTACTTTGTCTTTTGCTTTTCTTTTATCTATTGTCTTTTTGGTGTCAGATCTAAGAACTACTTACTTAGCTCTAGGACCTGAATATTTTCTATGTTTTATTTTTTTCCTGAAAGTTTCCATAGTTTTATATTTTAAATTTAAATTTATGATCCATTTTTAGTTAACTTTTAAGGAGATGTGAGACTTTGATAACTTTGATAATAAATGTCTGCTCGTTCAATCAGTATTTGTTGAAAACACCATATTTCCTCAGTTGAATTGCTTTTGCACTGAGTCCAACATCTGTTTGGTACATTTTTGTAGGTTTATTTCTAGTTCTCTGTTCTTTTCCATTGAAATACGTGTTTATCCCTTGATCGATACAACATTACCTTGATTGCTATAGATTATAATATATATTATATCATATATATTATAATATATATTATAATAGATTATAATACATATTATATCACATATATTATAATATATATTATAATAGATTATAATACATATTATATCATATAGATTAGAATATATATTATAATAGATTACAATATATATTATATCATATATATTATAATAGATCTTGAAATCAGGTAGACTGATTCTTGCTACTTTATTCTTTTTTTAAGTTGTTTTATATATGATAATTCCTTTGATTTTCTATAAACGTTTTAGAACCATTTAAGCTAATGTCCAAAACCATCTTGCTGGATTTTGATAAAATTATGTTAAACATGTATATCAGTTTTTAGGTAATTGACATCTTTACTATGTCTTGGATTTTCACTCCACGAACATGATATGACTCCATTTATGCAGATCCTTTTTTATTTCCCTCATCAGACATGGGCACTTGGAGCACTCAAGTCTTGTGGATGTTTTGTTAGAAATACACCTTGATTTTTTTTCTTAGCAGTTACAAATGGCACTGTATTTTCAATTTTTGTCTTCATATGTTAATTGCTATTATACAGAAGGGCAACTGGTTTGTGTATCTTTATCTTGTATGTTGGAAACTTGCAGAACTCACTTATTAGTTTCAGTGTGTGTGTGTGAGTGTGTGTATGAATTGCTTGCGATTATCTACTCGTGAAATCATGCCATTTGCGAACAAGTACAGTTTTATTCCTTCCATTTCAATCTGTATACATTTATTTTCATTGTTTGCCTTCCTGCACCGGCTAAAACTTCCAGCACTATGTGGAACAAAAATGATGAGGGGGGACATCTTGGCCCTGTTTCCAATATTAGGGGAAAAACATTCCGTCATTCATTATCAAGTATGAAACTTGCTGTATCGTGTGTGTGTGTTTGTGTGTGTGTGTGTGTGTGTGAGATGCACTTTTTCAAGATGAGAAAGTTGTCTTCTATTCCTATCTCTTCTGAGAATTTTCATCATAAAAACAGGTTCAATTTGTCAAAGGCTATTTTTGCATTGATTATATGATTATTTGAGTTACCTTTTTAGCCTTTAGCCTATTAATGTGGTGGATTGCATTATTTGATTTTTGAATACACAACCAATCTTGAATGGCTGAAATAAACTCCAGTTTGTAATGATGTTTAATTTATTGCATATAATGGCAGTTTCTATTGGCTAATACTTTGTTAAGAATGTTTACATCTATATTTGAAAAATATATTTATCTCCTGTGTTCTTTTTTTCTTGTTTTTTTGTACTACATTTGTCTGGTTTTGGTTTCAGCGTAACGATAGTTTCACAACATGGATTGGAAATAATTAACTAGTATATTTTCTGGAAGAGATTGTATAGAATGAGTGCTATATTTTCTTTAAGTTCCTGATAGAATTCTCTAGTGAAATGATACTGCTGACAGATATATTTCTCAAATTTTTTAAAATTTAAAATTCAAAATTCTTAATAAATATGAGATACTTATATGGAATGAGTTGTAGTTTTTTAAAATTAGGTCTTCTAACTTAAATTTTGAAATTTACATGTAGAGAATTACTTATAGTTTTTTTTTTTTTTTTTTTTTTTGACAGAGTCTTGCTCTGTCGTCCAGGCTGGAGTGCAGTGGCGCGATCTCGGCTCACTGCAAGCTCCGCCTTCCGGGTTCACGCCATCCTCCTGCCTCAGCCTCCCGAGTAGCTGGGATTACAGGCGCCCGCCACCACGCCCGGCTAATTTTTTGTATTTTTAGTAGATACAGGGTTTCACCATGTTAGCCAGGATGGTCTCGATCTCCTGACCTCGTGATCCACCCGCCTTGGCCTCCCAAAGTGCTGGGATTACAGGCGTGAACCACTGTGCCCGGCCCCAATTACAGTATTCTTTTATTTTGTCTTTGATGTCTGCAGTCTGTGTGACATGCCCTGTTTCATTTATGATGTTGGTAGTTTTTGTCTTCTCTCTATTTTTCTTTGTCAGTTTTGCTAAACATGTTTTAGTTTTATTGATTTTTTTTTCAAAGAACTGGTGTTATTTTATTTTCTTTATGGTTTTCTTTTTTCTTTTATTGATTTTTACTTTTATATTTATTCCTTCCTTCTTCTGTTTCCTTTGAGTTTATTTTGCTCTTCATTTTTATGTTACTGACGTAGGAATTTAGATTATTAATTTGAAATTTGTCTTCTTTTGTAGTATATGCATTTAGTGCTATAAAGTTCTCCCTCTGCACTGCTTTAGTACAATTTTTGACATCTTTTATTTTCATTTTCACTCAGTTCAATGTATTTTCTATTTCCCTTAAGGTTTTCTCAGTCTTGGATTATTTTGAAGTGTGTTGTTTACTTCCCAAGGGTTTGGCAATTTTTCTTTTCGTTATTGTTTTCTTTTTGTTATAGATTTATTCCGTTGTAGTTAGAGAACATACTTACTCTAACTGCAATGACTTTAAATTTGTTCATGAATATTTTATGACCTAGGATATGGTATATCTTCTTAGCTATTTTATGGACATCTTAAAAGAATGTTTCGTCTGCTGTTCTTGGGTGACATGTTTTATAAATGTCTAATAGATCCTTTGGTCTATGGTGGTAAGTTCTTCTATATCCTTATTGATTTTATGTCTAATTTCATCAATTGTTGAGAGAAGAGGATTGAATTCTCCATAGATTTGTCTATCTCTCTTAATTAAATTTTTGTTTCACATATATTTCAGCTTTTTTGTTTGGCACATGCACATTTGGGATTGCTCTGTTTTCTTGGCAGATTTACCCTTTGGTCCTATGTTTCTCCTTGCATCTGGTAATTTTTCTTTGCTCTGGAGTCTTTATTTGATATTGATATAGTCATTCCTGCTTTCTTTTTATTAATATTTGTATGACATAAATTTTCCTTCCTTTTACTTTCAGCCTTCAAATATTTGAATTCAGTTTCTTGTTCACATTTGGGTCATGTTTGTTGCTGTTTTTTTGTTTTGCTTTGTTTTTTGTAAATTTCACTCTGCCATCTCTGTTTTTAATTAGTATATTTAGAGTGCTTATATTTAATGTAATTATTGATATCTTAGGGTTTATATTTGCCATTTTATTTTTCTTTTCTTTTTTTACCTCTGTTTCTTATTTCTCTTTTTATAATCCTGCTTTCCTGTGGATTACTTGAATATACTTTTAAATTCCATTATAATTTATCTATAGTGTTTTATATGTATTTCTTTGTAGGCTTTTTTTAGTAGTTGTTCTTCATATTACATTATAGATAACTTATTGCCATCTATTGGCATCTGATCATACCATTGTCTGTGAAGTGAAAAACACTTACCTTCTTGCAGATTCTTTTGGTCTTTTTTATTTAGAAGATAATTATCTTAAATATTTCATCTTTATATATTTAGTTATATAATCTTTGCTTCAACCATTAGGTATGATTTAGAAATCTCAAAAGAAGAAGAAACCTACTGTGTTTCCCCATAGTTAAACTCACTCTGATCTTCTTTTCTTCCTGATCTTCCAAGATATCCTCTTTTATTGTTTTCTTTCTGTTTAGAGATGTTTCTTTAACTGTTCTCTTAGGATAAGTGTTTTGGTTACAAATCTCAGAACTCTTAGGGTTTTTGTTTCTTTCTTTTTTTTTTTTTTTTAGTTTTGTTTTAAACGTGAAGATTTCTTGATTTCCCCTTCATTCTTAAAGGATATTTTCATGATAGAATTCTGAATGGACTGCCCCCTTGCCTACTTTTTTTTTTTGCTATACTTGAACAATATTATGCCACTTATCCTGGAACTTCACAGATATTTATGAGAAATCTACTCTCATTTGAATTCCCATTTTTCTATCATTGCCTCTAAGATTTTTTTAATCCAATAAAAAATACAAAGTTTTAGCAAAAACATGGTAAATTCCAGCAAGAAATAGAAGATACAAATTTGTTTTTATTAGGAGTTATTATATATTTATGGCATGTTCATCCTGACTAGGGAAATCGCAAATCCTCCTTTAATATCCATCAGCCATCAAAATTATTTAATATATAAAACAAAATTATTTAAGATATAAAAGAGAATCACATGGATATTTTCAAATTATAAATATGATAACTGAAATAAAAAATCTAAAGGAGGGCTCAAAAGCAAAATGTAGGTGATAGTGAGAAGAAGCAAAGAACTTGAAAACATAAAAATTACCCAGTATGATCAACAGAGAGAAAATAAACCAGAAAAAAACCAACAGAACTTGAGGGACCATGGAGACTGTAACGAAGATCTAACATGGGTACTACCAGCATCCAGGAAAGAGAGAAGAAAATTGTGGGTCTGAAAGAAATACTCAAAGAAATAATGGCTGAGTGACTAAAGTTTAAATAACAGATCGTCTGACTAGTGTTGACTTAAACAATAATAACATTTCTTTCTCTTGCATAAAAATGTAGAGTTAAGCATTGTCAGTGCTGTGCATGTCTCAATGACGCTGGAGAGCCTGCTCAGCACCTTGGCAGTTCTCTGGGCTCTTGCTCTTTGGTTACAGGATGTCTGCTATGCTTTTAGGCATTATATCTTTACATCAGCATCTTGGACTCTTAGGAAGGACTGAACAGAAAAGGGGAAATTTCCATTTATCAGAGAGAAAACATTTTCTAAAATAGCCTTTCATCAGATTTTAACTAACAACTCTTCTAGCATGCAAGAAAGTGGTCAAACAATAATTTACTTATTCATTTTTAGTTTATCGTTAGTATTTATTATTTATATTTATTATCATTATATAATAATTTATTATTATATAATATAATAGTATTATTTATTATTATTATTATTATTTTTAGTTTATTATGGAAGGTAACCAAAGAGACTGATTTAGATATGGGTTTGAATAGCAGACATGAATAAATTGCAATCCTAATGATGCTACACTTTTATATTTTCATTTAGCAATTTCTCTTCTTGAAGATAATACATTAAGATCTAGTGTGTGGGTTTTGGACAAATTCATAATGAATTTCTGAAACGTAAGAACATATTTCTAACATTTGTGGAATGACTATGGGCCAGACGATGTTCAATCTAAGGGATTAAGATACAGTAGTTCACTTATCTTTGAGAAGAATGAGTTATCATTTTCATTTTTAGATAAGGTAATTGAGGCTAAGTGATGTTCATTAATGGATCAAATGTTGCAGACCACATTAATGGAGAAGTCATATGTTGGACAGATCCAATTTCAAAGGCACTTTTATTCTGTTTCATTCATTTTGCCCCTGGAGTCCAGCACAGCACCTGCAGCATAGTAAGCCTTGATACAATTAGGGAATCAGCAGAAATGGCAAAAAAGTCAGGCATGAGTTTGAGGGAAGGTCAAAGAGCAGAATGAATGCAGAAACACTTACTGTTGTTTATCATATTCTATTATCCTGTTTGCTGCTTCAGTTCCTGTCATTGCAATCCTGTCTTTCCTACGTTATATATTCTAAGATAATTTTATCATGTGGCTCAGCCAATTCAAAATGGTCTTCGCATTTTAAAAATCTCCTCTTAGTCCATACAGTTAATAAGTGCAAGGATAATTTAAAGATTATTCCTGGCTGGTAGATTTTCAGCTAGAGATAAGGGGTGAGTGTGGTTTTACATTGTTATTTTTATTTTTAGAGTGCGTTCAGTCTCAATCCAATCCTAACTTCTAACCCAACTGCTTTTCTACAAAACCTGAGTGGTTTTAGTTTTCAGTTTGGATGACAGTCAGTCAGCTGGCACTGGTTTTAAAGCCCTGTCAAACCTCAATCTAATGATAGATCATCACAAGGGGAGTGGAATCATTTTCTTTTCTATATTAGAATTTTTATTAGCAGTCAATATCTTTTAAATTAATAAAATAGTGAGTCACTTTATATTTAATTTTAATATGTTTATATTAGAAGTTGTATATTTATAGCATGACCATCCTGAGTATAGAAATCAGAAAACTTCCTTTAATAACCATCAACCATGAAAATCATTTAAGAATAACTTTTTTCCATTTATTTGGAAAAAAGTCTGACTTTACAGCAAAACATAATTTTCTCTCCCTTTTGACTACTGAGCCTCAGTTTCATTCCATTTGACTTGTGCATACACTTTCCAAGGATTCTGAGATGCCGAGAAGGACCACTATCTCAGTGTATAATGTTTTAATGACTATTTGGAGGCTCAGACACCTCTGAATTGACAAAGACAGAACAAGTGTCTTTCCCCTTCAGTACCTCATTGAACTAGTAGCTCTGTGTTTTATTCTCGCCTTACCTTTTAAAACATTTGATTTTAGCTAAGATCAGATTTATTTACCAGGAAACCTTTATAAGAGCTCCCTTTCTGCTACGTGCAAATGTGTTAATGTTTATTCATTACATGGCAATGTGCCTATGGTTTTCCTTTAGTCCTTCTTAGGCTGTAGCACATCACCTCAGTAAACCAAAAATTAAATGCTAAGCCCCCCAGCCAACAGAACGGAGCCCTCCTGTCAGCCGAGGGCATTCCAAAAGAAACCTAAGAAACTAGTTCAGGCCATGATGGGAAGCGAGAGTTGGACATGCCTCATTATCCCCTCCTCCCTCTGACATTCAGGCACAACTGACCAGCATTAACACTAAACCAGAAATATTAAGACTGACAAAATGGACTCTTTGTAGCAATAAGATGCCAAATTCCAACCTGACTCTAGTATAGAATCATGACATCAGGCCCTGAAAGAAATCAAAGTATTTTACCCCAAAATAGATTTCTTTGACATATTTAGAAATGGTCTTGCAAAGCTGCTTCTTGTGGGGGACATTTACATTCTATAGAGAATTCTTATCCATTTCCAGGTCTTTTCCTGATCCAGGAGACAATTAACTAAAAGTCTTGCACCTATAGGGTCTGATAGACATTTATCAGATATTTATCAAATAGATGACATTTATCATCTATTCTCTCTGAAGCCTGCTACCTGGAGGCTTCATCTACATAACAAAAGCATTGGCTTCCACAACCCTTCCAATCTTCTACTAGCATTTCTTTCTGCTGACTTCAACTCTTCAGGGAGAGCTTAACCACTTCAACCAATTACCAGTCAGAAAATAATTAAATCTACCTATGATCTGGAAGCGTTCTGCAAGTTGTCCTGCCTTTCTGTTCCAAATCAACATAAACCTTACATGTGGTGACTGATATCTGCCTGTAACCTCTGTCCCCCTAAGCTGTAACCCAACCACCTTGGGCACATGTTCTCAGGACCTCCTGAGACTATGCCTTGGAACTTGGTCACTCATGTTTAGCTCAAGATAAGCCTCCTTAATATTTTAGAGTTTGACTCTGTTCAACAACATCTCCATTCCTCAGAGCATATATTGTCCTGAGTTGAAGCTATCCCCTAATTGATGGGAAACTTCCTCATTTGCTCTTTCTCTCCCTGCGCCCGACTCTCTTCCCCTTCATGGAGTTAGTGCTTCTTTTGAATACCACACTTATCTAGAGATATGCATTCATTCTCTTGAAAGTTTTTCTTCTTCATTCCTCTTCTATCTTCTTCTCAGTTCCCTATTTCTTCCTTTTAGGGTCTTCTTTCCTATTCATTTCTTCTATTAGTAAATGAAACTGTGAACCAAAAGTATCTGAGACAAATCTCAAATCAATTTAGAAAGTTATTTTGCCAAGTTAAGGATGCATGCTCAGGAGGCAGCTCTTGCCCTTCTCAAAGAATAATTTTGAGGGCTTCAGTATTTAAAGAGGAAACGATGGATACTGCAGGAAGAGAAAGAAATGGTGAGGGGAGGGGGGAGGGATAGCATTGGGAGATATACCTAATGCTAGATAACGAGTTAGTGGGTGCAGCGCACCAGCATGGCACATGTACACATATGTAACTAACCTGCACAATGTGCACATGTACCCTAAAAGTTAAAGTATAATAATAAAATAAAAAAGTTAAAAAAAAAAGTACGCATAGGTAAGAAACAAAGGGTTGCATTCTTTTGAGTCTTTGGTCAGCCTTTCACAAATACACAATTTACATGTTGGGGGGACAGTCACTAGAGAAATGATCATTAATGCCTTTGTTCTGACTCAGTGGATCTTCATTTTTACATCAGAGGAAGCAATCAGGTATGCATTTGTCTAGGTGAGCAGAGGGATGACTTAGAGTTTTGTCTTTTTCCTGCACCTGGGAAGAGAAGCTAGCAATTTACATTGTCAGGGTAAAATTCAACATAACTATTTTAGGGTAAAGATCTTGGGGCCCACAAGGAATTTCCTCATAGCCAATTTGTGAGGGAGGTATGTAGCATTTTTAACTTTGTGGAAATCTTATTTAGGAATAAAATAGGAGGCCAGTTTTCCTGACACAGTTCCCAGCTTCCCTTTTCCCTTTGGCATAGTGAATTTGGGGTCCCAAGATTTATTTTCCTTTCACAAAACCACAGAGCACTAAACCTTGTTAATTGGAAGAAAACAAAACAAAACAAAACAAAACAAACAAACAAAAAAGCCCTAATGATAAACTGTTACCATGTGAAAAACAAAGCTAAAACTAATTGAAGTAAATTATAATTCATTACAAAACCAACATTATAAGTGTTCAAAAATAAGTGTAATGCAAGCAAGATCTACTTGAATTTAAATAGCATATCACTGAATTTAATGAGAAAAATAGATGTTGATGTTTAAAAGAAGTGTAGTAGAATATTAGTTTTAGGACTGCTAGATCTTTGAAATATTCTCTTGAATATTATCAGTAATTTATCAAGAAATAAAGCATTTTGTGACAAAATTGGATTTTAGCCTGTGACGTTAGATATTGGTTAAACTTTTAGTTCACTATGACACTTTAAAAGTTTAAACTTTGAACAATTCATTTAATGTCAAAATCCTAATTGTAAAAATATGAGATCATGAGAAATATCTTCCTTATCATTTTTTAAACCACTAGATATTAAGCCTTTTACAATTTTAAAGCTATACTCCAAAACAATAACACTATTTCATTGCAAAGATATATATGTGATTAAATATATAACATATATCTCTATATCATATAAATATATTGAAGAATATGGGTTCTTTTTGTCTAAATTTAGAAAACATTTATGTTTGCATCAATGCACTTTGAAAAAAGACCATTGGAAATACACATTTTAATAAAAACCAAATGACAAATTTATAGTTCATTATAAAATATTTTACAGACTTTGAAACATTTAGTACGATTCTAAACGGTTGAAATAATATCAATGAGTTTTCCTACTGGGCTAGTTACTGGCTGACTGTTCAAAAACGTTTAGCCTGAGTGGCTTTGACTATTCTTCAAAAGTGTTTGTGCATCTCCACGTCTGAATCATTTCATTTTGGCAACAGGCAGATGGTAGGTTTCAGATTGAAATGTAACACCAATGTGATGAAACAAATTTATCTAACAGAAAAATTAAAAACAATATAAGCAAGCAGAATATGGTTGATTATAAGTGGATGATTTAGTCCCACTCTCTTGACTCATATGTTTGCATATTAAACACCCTAACCACAGTGACTGGGAGACTTTTTAAAATTTTTTTAATTTTCATTACACAATCTGTTTCTAATAACACACATTCAAAATGATTGTTCATTGCTTTATTTATTTGCCCAGTTTTGTGTTCATATATGGCATAGTTTGTGCCATATGTATAGACAAACTGTGCCGTATATACGTAATATAGCTTGTGGAATCGATACCATAGTACAGGAAGGGTTGGGAATCCATCCTTCCAAGGATATCCAGCTGGTGTACACAGAAACCGTCTGCACAGATGAACTGGAGTGATTACATTTTATTTATATGCCCCATTTTTTAAATGATTCGTATAATTTATCTTAAAAAATGGTTCTAGAAGACTTTAAACGATCACATTTTTATTTTCAAATCTTCCACATTTTTTTTTCTTAAGTGAGAAGCTTTGATCTTTCAACGGATGAACACAAGTTTAATATAAATTAATGACAAGGACATCAGAATTCAATTTGGTTCAGATAAGTGACTCCTGTAAAATACTTATTGCTTGAATTTAATGTATAAACAATCCTATTTCCTAAAGGATAAACAAGTGTTCATTTTTATATATTAGTACAGCGACTCTTCGTAATACCATCTATTGCTTTGAAAAAATATATGCAATGGCACATAAAAGGGGCCCCGTCTACATGATTTGGAAACTGATCCTCAAGTCTATTCCTTTGTCGTCTCTTGTGAAAAGTATGGTAATGTGCCTCTATTTAGATTTTTTCAGTGAAAGTTTTGCTTATTATTAATTTTCAAGTGTGAACTATAGGGAAAAGACCCAAGGTAGATTATTTTAAAAACTTTAGGATGCAAGAATAAAGAAGAAACACACAGGATTTGGTGTCATATTACCAAGATGTAAATCCTTTTTTTACAGTTTCCAAGAGGCATAGCCTGGTGCTATTCAACTAACCTTTTAAAATCTCAGTTTCTCACAGGTAAATTATTTATATGGAAGTAACCAACAAGGAGTAATAACACTACAAATGTGACATGTTAGATTAAAAGTTTCATAAACATTTTACAATAGCATCAAAAGCTAGAAATTTATCCAAATGTAGTGGTAATTCAGGCCCAGAAAGACAACATTGTTCTTCAGGCCACTTTGCTTAAGATCTAGGACTCTCCAGATTACTGACTGGCAAAAACAAAGTTTAAAGTCAGGCCAGAAACCACGGAACAGGAATTCTCAGTCTTGTTGAGAACCAGCTAATTATTTCATTTCATTAGTTAGTTATGGATTACTTATCATATATTTAGAATATACTTTAATTACAGGGAAAAAAGAAGCATGACAATTTCAACAAGCGAAATAGCCAGATAATGCTGAAATGATCCATCCACAAAATACCCAAGGAATAATATAGATCTCATAAAATAAATGTAACAAATATTAGATTTTTTCATCTTTAATTTTGTTTTCCTATAATCCAATGTTATGTAATTACTTAGATAGTTTTAAAGACGCCCAGGAGCATAATAGGAGATGAACATGGAATCTTGCACAGAGTCATAAGAAAAATATACAACTATTAGGAAGCATATGAATATTAAGTTGATTTTCAAATTTTCAATATGTTCTCCATAGGCTTTCTCATTGTGTTCTCACGATAACTCTGAGCCTTATGGAACAAGCTTTTATGATCCATGCTTGCAGCTGAGCAAAGTGGACCCATGAACACACAGTCGAGGTAGAGCTGGAGAAGGAAGCCCTTGTCTCCTGACTGCAGTCTTACTTAAAACATCAAGAAGGATGGACTCCTAGTTGGTCTACCTTTACGGCTATTGCTCTTGCCCTTATAAATTATTTAGTACAAGTGGGTACACGCCAAGCTTTCTTATATTGATTTCCTCAGCAATATCTTTTCCTCTTACCAGGTCTCTATTCCTTTACAGAGCATTTATGACACATTGTAATGTCATCTTCCAAGGGCCAAGTGGCTATTCCTGGAAGTAGCAATGATCGATATTTCAGAATCATAATTGGGACAGAGGAGAGAGCTCACAAAAGGGACTATTTCCCAATGTATCTCTTTTGATGTCAATGAATTCCTGAAAGAGTTGAGGCTGAGGGTAATATTCTTTTTGAAATTTAGATGAGCAGGATTTTAATGTACTAAAGAAGGAATGAAGATTTCTGGTGTGGGGATAGGGTTTATTGTTGCTTTTTTTCCACTCTTTCATTGTCCTCAGTTGCTGGTTGTTTCTTTATTTTGCTCATTCATATATTTTGCTTAAAAAACTATTGTTTATTTGTTTAAAAAACAACTTTTTTATTGGCATAAGAAAAACTTGAACCATAGATGATGTAACAATCTTTAATTTTTCATCAGTGTTAGCTGTTCCTCTTTATTTAACATTTGTATTTCATGTCCTGCTAATCAATTTTATAAGTTTAGCGATTTTTCATTGTAAACCTACCTCATGTATTACGTGTTGATATTTTGTAAAAAATTTGCTTTGGAGAAATCTCACAGTTTTTCTGAGCTGCATTTCCTTATTTTTTTGACTAAATTTTTTTTTGTTTTGAAAGGATTGTAGATTCACATGCAATTTTAAGAATTCATAGAGGCCAGGCATGGTGGCTCATGCCTGTAATCCTAGCACTTTGGGAGGCCAAAAAAAAAAAAAAAATAAGAGAGAAAGAAAGAAGTAATATACAAAGATCCTGTGTATCTTTTTAAAATTTTACCCCAAAGTTACTATTTCACAGAAGTGTAGTACATTATCACAACCAGAATACTGACGTCAATACAGTGAAGACACAGAAGTCCATCTGCACACACATTCTTCATGCTGCCCTTCATAGCCACACCTACTTGTCCCCTCCCATTACCAGCCCCTTGAGAACTCCTGGACACCACCAATGTTGTTGTTGTTGTTGTTTTTCCATTTCTATAATTTTGTTAATTCTAGGAGGTTATGGAAATGGAAATGGAATCATACCGTATCCATTAACTTTGAGGCTAGATTTTTTATTCACTCACCATAATTCTTTTGAATATTGAACCACTCTGTTCTGCTACGAATCCTTCTTTTTGGTTGCTGGGTACCATCCCATGATAGCAATGTGTTACAGTGTATTTAGCCACCCACTTGTTGAAAGACATCCGGCTTGTTTTCAGATTTTTGTTATTATGAATAAAGCTACTATAAACAATTGTCTACAGGTTTTCTTTTCTTTTCTTTTTTTTTCTTTTTTTCTTTTCTTTTTTTTTTTTGTGGAGATGTTAAGTCTTTATTTCTTCAGGATAAATGCCCAGGAGTGTAATATCTGGGCGATAATGACAATGATAATTGCATTTGTGTTGTTTTTAAGAAAATGCAACACCATTTTTAAATTATGGAGTCTATTCTCTTAACAGGTAAAGGGCTATTCAGATCATCTATTTTATCTTAGTTGACTTTTGGTAGTTTGAGTTTACAAAGCATTACCTTCTAGTATAATTTTTTTCTCTCTCTTACATTAACTGCATCTCATTTAATGCCAGATGTTGTATTCTCATTTTCAGTTAGACTGATGTATTTTTTAAAACTTCCTTTGAGGCTTCCTTTTATGGCTTGAATATGTGTGTCCTCCTAAAATTTATAGTGAAGTCCTGGCCCCCAGTGTGATGGTGTTAGGGGGTGGGACCTCGGGAGGCGATGAGGCCCTGCGTGTGGAGCCCTCCTGAATGGGATTGGGGACCTTAAGAGAAGAGATGTGAGGAAGATGATCTATCTTTACACCTGTGAGGTAACAAGGAGAAGACGGCCATCTGTAAGCCAAGAAAAGAGCCCAAACTAGGAACCCCACCATTCTGGCACCCCAATCTTCAACTTCCCAGCCTCCAGAAATGTAAAAAAAAAAAAATCTGTTGTTTAAGTCACATGGTCTGTGGTATCTTAATAGCAGCCTGAACTCACTAGAACACTTACTAGTTTACCAATGGATTATTTAGATGTGTTTTTTCATTTCCAAGGTTTTGAAGATTGTTTTTTTTATCTTTCTGCTATTGATTTCTACGGTGGCCTACACCTGTAATCCCAGTACTTTGGGAAGCTGAGGCAGGTGGACCACCTGCGGTCAGGAGTTCGAGACCAGCCTGGCCAACTTGGTGAAACATTGTATCTACTAAAAATACAAAAATTAGCCGGGCATGGTGGTGCACACCTGTAGTCCCAGCTAATTGAGAGGCTGAGGCAAGAGAATCACTTGAACCTGAGAGACAGAGGTTGCAGTAAGCTGAGATCGCACCATTGCACTCCAGCCTGGGCAACAAGAACAAACTTCTGTCTCAAAAAAAAAAAAAAAAAAAATATATATATATATATATATATATATATATATAAACAAATAAATAAATAAATTTAACTGTTACTGATTTCTAGTTTGATTACTCTATGAATAGAAAAATATTCTGGACAATTTCAAATTGTTTACTTTTTTTGAGGTTTGTTTACAGGCCAGAATATAATCTTTCTTGGCAAATGTTTCATGGTGTTTGAAAAAATATCTGTTTTCTGTTATTGGGTGGGGACATTCTATAGTTGTTAGTCTCAGTATGCGAGTTGATTGTGTCATCATCATTCTACATTTCTGTTGATATTATCTGCATTGCTAGGACTGGTATGTTGAATCCTCAATCTAATTAAGAATCTTATTGTGGATTCTTCCACTTCTCCTATTAACTCTATCGGTTTTTGCATCATGTCTTTTGAAACTATTTTATTTGGTGCATTCATATTTAGAATCTTTGTCTTTCTTATGGCTTCACACTTTCATCATTCTTATGTCTACTAATTTTCCTTTCTCTGAAATCTACTTTATCTAATATTAGCACAGCCATTTTTGCTTTTTTGATTAATGTTTGCACTGTGTATCCTTTCCCTCCTTTATATTCAAACTATCCATATTGTTGTACTTGATATTAATTTTTAATAAGCACTGTAAAGTTTGTTTCTTAAAAAAATTCATGCTATCTATCTCTGTCATTTTGGTTAGCATATTTAGGTTATTTAAACATAAAGTAATTATTGATATATTTGAGGTAAGCCTGCCATTTTATTCCCATATTATAATAATGATTTATTTATTTATTTATTTGCTTATTTCCTATTTTTCTCTTTTCACCCTTAAATTCCCATGGATAATTAGAACATTTTTAGTATTCCACCTTGATTTATTTATGGTATTTTTAGCATATCACTTTGTATAATTTTCTTAGAGTAGGTATTATAATTTAACCCAGTAAGCCTCAATTAATATCACTGATAGGTTCTTAGAAACTGTGACTTTAAATGAAATGATGTATAATGAAATCAGTTTTACCACAGGCTAACTGATATAAATAAAAATTAAGTTCCTATGGCACATTTCTGGCCACAAAAACATCACCAACTTTCTAAGTAAACATCCAAAACCCTTCTAATATTGAAATAAAGAGCTTTACATACACTTTCGGAGGCCAAGGTGGGCGGATCACGAAGTTGGGAGATGGAGACCATCTTGGCTAACACGGTGAAACCCCGTCTCTACTAAAAAAAAAATACAAAAAATTAGCCAGGGGAGGTGGCGGGCGCCTGTATTCCTGGCTACTCAGGAGGCTGAGGCAGGAGAATGGTGTGAACCTGGGAGGTGGAGCTTGCAGTGAGCCGAGATGGCGCCACTGGACTCCAGTCTGTGCGACAGAGCGAGACTTCGGAAAGAAAGAAAAAGGAAGAGAGAGAGAGAGAGAGAGAGAGGAGGACGGGTAATAACGACAAGTAAGATAATTATTTAACCAACTTTTAGTGACTCACTGAGCAATTGTGATTGTGGAGGTGGTGGGTTAAATCAAGGAATAAGGTTTTGTAAAGGAAAAATTGTAAGGAGCTCCTCCTACCACTAAAAAAATTAATTAAATAAATAAATAACAAATATGTCAAGCTCACTGAGTGTTTTTGTACTGCTTGTTTATTGATGTGCATTTATATAAATATAGTACACTTTACACATTTTTATTTTACAATCACTTGTATTCCCTCATTAATGCATTTATTTTTCAACCCGCTTATTCCAGTTTAGGGTGGCAAGTGGCTGGATCCTATCCCAGCAGTTCAAGATGCAAGGAATAAACCACCTCAGGAGAGGACCTCATCCTTGCAGGCAGGACACACTCCCACCTACACTCACTTCCAGCGGGACCATTTAGACACACTTATCCATCTAACATGCAGGTCTTTGGGGTGTCAGAGGAAACCAGAGTGCTGGGAAGATTATCCAAACTTCACACAGACAGTGGTCTCAGCTAGAATCAATTTTTCTTTTCTCATCAACATTATAGGGAAACACCATTGAACAAAAACGTAAGTGGAGGACCTGCTCCACAGATAGTCCCCAACTTATGACTTACATTTTTCAACTTTACAGTGATGCAAAAACATTCTATCTTTTGCTTTCACTGCAGTATTCAATTAATTACATGAGATATTCCACACTTTATTACAAAATAAGCTTTCTTTTGGATGATTTTGCCTAACTGTGGGCTAATATTAAGAGTTCTGAGCACATTGAAGGTAGGCTAAGCTAAGCTGTGACGTATGGTATGTTACTTATATTTAATACAGTTTCGATTCATGATATTGTCAACTTACAGCAGGTTTATCAGGCGGTAACCCCACTGTGAGTAGAGAAGCACCTGTAGGTATCTCATCACAATCTACTGGTATCATCCAGGGTAGTGCAGAAAACTTATTTTCATTTCGGACCCATTACTCTCCCCACTTTTTAATGGAATCATCTTGAGATTAAAGTAATTAGTTAGAAGAAGTCGCCCATTATATATTTTTTAATTTTTATCTCTTTCCATGTTCTTACCACCAGGCTTTATGGAATAACAGTGGGACGTTAGTGGTGAAGATGAGGGTGTCACACGTGTCAGTATAGAAGACCATCTCGACAGGCTTTGTGTAAGCAACAAGGCTGTTTACTCACTTGGGTGCAAGTGGGCTGAGTCCGAAAAGAGAGTCAGTGAAGGGAGATAGGAGAGGGGCAGCTTTATACCGCTTGGGTAGGCAGTGGAAAGTTACAGTTAAAGGTGGTTTTTTGTTGTCAGCAGGGGAGGGGGTCACAAGGTGCATGGTGGAGAGATCACGAGACTTATTGTCCAGGAGAAGAATGTCACAGGGCCGATTGATCAGTTAGGGTAGGGCAGGAACAAGTCATAGTAGTGGAATGTCATAAAGTTGGTTAATCAATTAAGGCAGGAACTGGCTGTTTCACTTCTTTCGTGGTTTTTCAGCTGCTCCAGACTTCTTGGCTCCTGCAGGCCATCTGTATATGTGCAGGTCACAGGGGTTACAATGGCTGAGCTTCGGCTCAGAGGCCTGACAGTGTGTTTTTTCTGTTGGTATCTGGCTGAAATGAAGTGGTATCTTAGCCCATTTGGACTACTATAACAAAATACTGGGTAATTTATAAACAACAGAAATTTATCACTCACAACTTGAGAGTGGAAGGTCCAAGATCAAGACACCAGCAGATTTGGTGCCTGGTGAGTGTGGACAGGGCAGATTTCTCTTCCACATAGATCCTCATGTGGCAGAAGCAGCAAGAGGCTCATTCAAGCCCTTTTATAAAGGCTCTAATTGCATTCATGATGGCGGGTCTCTTATGACCTAATCACCTCCAAAAGGCCCAACCTCTGTGTTGGGGGTGAGGTTTCAACCTATGAATTTGAGGAGACACTGACATTCAGATCCCAGCAGGAAGGCACTGCCAATAGGCTTTTCCTCTTGGCCACTGGGAACAGGCTTTTTTTGGAGCCTTTTTTTCTGTGTGCCTGTTGGTGGTTAAATGTTGCAGACTTCTGCAGCATTCTGTCTGGAGCAAGTGGGAAGCCCGTTGGTTGTGTATGGAAGGTTCATCAGCTTCACTCATTTTATCTTCTAGGTCACTGGTGCTGTCAGCAGGACCTATGATCTAGGCCAGTGTGTGGCATGTTTGTCACTGGTCCATGATGAAATAAGGACAGAAATGTATTTCATGTTATGACATCGTAATAAAAATTTGAAATAATAATTTTATTTCCAGTGTGTCTTTTATGTTAACATTTTCTCTTTCCTTCCTTCCTTCCTTCCTTCCTTTCTTTATTTTTTTTGACGGAGTCTCACTCTGTTGCCCAGGCTAGAGTGCAGTGGCACAATCTCAGCTCACTGCAACCTCCACCTCCTGGATTCAAGCAATTCTCCTTCCTCGGCCTCCTTAGTAGCTGGGATTACAGGTACCTGCCACCATGCCTGGCTAATTTTTGTATTTTTAATAGAGACGGGGCTTCGCCATGTTGGCCAGGCTGGTCTTGTACTCCTGACGTCAAGTGATCTGCCTACCTTGGCCTCCCAAAGTGCTGGGATTACAGGTGTGAGTGACCACGCCCAGTCAACATTAACATTTTCTAATTATTTTTGCTGTATTTGCCAATTGTAAGTCTGTAATTGTTTGTGGATGGGGGACTGCTTTACTGTGGGTAATTTGAGAAGCACTCTAACAGGTGTCTCTGATTCTGAAAAACGTTATGTTAAAATATTTTAATAAAATCGCATTTATATTTCCCTTTCATTTTTGAACAATATAATTTGTTTTATACCTTTAGCTATTATGTTCTTTGTTGCATTCATTTTTATGAGTGTTAAATAACCGTCACAAATATGCTCCTTAATTTTTTATATGGTGTTCTGTTTACCTTTTGTATTTTAACCTTAATTTCCACCTTGTCTAAAAATAATATTGCTTTTCCTGTTTTCTCTTGTCTGGTACTGATTTCTCCATCCCTTTATTTCTAACATTTTAAGAAAAAAAAAAAAACATGCATGCATACACTTACTTTAGAAAGTGCACCTACTGCCCGTTAACTGAATTTGTAAAAATAGTGGAGAAATGTTGTTTATTCTAACATAACAGTTTTAATCTCCTAAAAGGATTTAACTCAATGATAGTTAAACAATTGCTATATTTGGATTTATTCTTTTTGTTTTATTTTATGTTAATAATTCATCGTATTTCATTGTTTCTTTTTTTTTTTTTTTTCCTAATTTTGCTAATCCAACTTTTCTGGTTTTGCTGTCGATTCACTTTTCTTTTTTTCTTTGTTTATTTGAAAATTCGATTAAACTTTTCCATTTCTTTAATAGCTGTCTTCCCTGTACCTGAATCAGACAAAAACCTCTCCACCACTACAGGACTGCTCAACAGCAGCTCTTCTCACTAACATTCTCTGTGCTTTGTCTCGCAACCTCCTCACCTCAACCCTAACAAATGAGGCCTTTAGAATATGCTGAGGCCATTGTCTCACCATAATCAACCCCTTCTACCTTACATATGAGTAGCATTATTGCCTTTGATGTCTCTTTCCCCATGATGTGTTGTCTTACGATAGTTTAATTTGGAGCAAGTTACTTTGAAACATATGTGCATATGTGATTGTTTGCAATTTCTAGAAATTACTCAGTTCTAGTCACCTCATCATTATTTATTAATTTATTTAATAAATATGTAGTATTTAGTATGACATAATCAGTGTTTTAAGAACTTTATAAATATTAAATGAAATAATGTTATATGAAGGCTATGAGTTATGTAAGTACTATTGTGTGTGATTTATAGAAACTGAGGTATGAACAGTGAAATGGACATGATTTAGCTGATAAGTGGTACAAGTATGATTTAAACTCCAAAAATGTAGCTGCAGAACTAACTCTTAGACATTAAATCATGCTACTTCTTATTTATATTTATGTTTATTTCAATTTGTGTGTGTCTCTCTCTATATATATCTATATATATAGGCACACACACACAGACAAGGTTCACTGCACTCTAATAATTTATTCCAATTAGATCTTATTTATTGATCTCTATGTTTTGCTATATTTGGATTTGTTTAAAATTTTCCAAACAGGTTACCTGGGTTTTGTAGTCTCTGCTTATATAGTCAGAAAGAGCTTTATTTAATCCTTAAAGGGAAGTATCTTGCTGAAAAGAGAATTCCTGAATGACAGTCTTCAGCCCTTCTTCCGTGGTCTTCTACTTGAAAGGAAGAGATAAAATATCCAGTGATGAACTGATTATTATTATTATGCTCAATTTCAGATTTTCTTCTTCAAAAGAGATGGTTTTCTATTATTTGTTCACTATTATCACTAAAATGATTATCAGTTCTTTTCTTCTCTTGAATATCTATACTTCGTGTATTGATTTTCCTGGATATATTGCCCAAGAATCTGTAAATTTTCCAACATAAATTACATCTTCTTGTATGTTTGCTCTTTGTTTCAGACTCTTCCTTTGATGTTCTAGTCCACCATTTTACATCTCAAAAGGGAGTGGCCTTCTCTCCAACTTACTCATCCACTTTTCAGTTCCAGCGCTTCTTCTCCGTGTGATTCTTCGATATCCTTAAGCTTTTTTCTTGTTATAAATTTGTCGTTTTTCAAGCTTTCATCTCTTCTACAGTAACTCCTTTTCATAAAGAACATGTTCTGAATTTTTTAAAAAGTTATTATTCTCTACAGATTCTAGGTAATCTTAGTTGGGTAGTTAGTTATTTTTATTAGTGTTATTTTTGGGTGAAATTTTTGGGGCTCAGGTACAACTGCTGGGTATCATGACTGGGAGTGGCCGTGATCCCCACGCTGCACACCAGCCTGAAGCTTGGTTCAGGGGATGCAGATGGGAAGATACTGAGCTGAAAGTGGAGAATGCTAAGACCCTTAGGCTACAATCTTCCCCAAATCTCTCATCTGAATACGTGCTATTTTCCTTAAATGCACATCCATTTTTAAAATTGTAATTTCCTGTACAATCAGTATCTATAGTAACTTATATACTTACAATCTAAGATGTGCAAACCCTTAAAATATACTCTGGAGATAATACAATTTTGAACATGTTTTGCCCTTGTTCTCCTGAATCTTCAGGATTGTGGAAGCTACAAGTAAGAAAGCAACTGAAAGGATGCGATGTCATATGTGTGATGACAGCAATATGTGTGTTGCCACAGAAGGACACTGCAGAGGAAGTCCACCTTCCTACAAGGGAGTAGATCAGCACTTTCAAAGGACACTACAGCTGAGCTGATACCTGAGGCATGGGGAGCAGCTCAATCAAAGCTCAAAGGCAGAAAGCATCTAGTATCCCAGGGAAGTTAAAAATAGGTCTCTGTAGCTCAAAAAGAAGGTACATGGCCAGTGCAGTGGCTCACGCCTGTAATCTCAGCACTTTGGGAGGCCGAGGCAGGCAGATCACTTGAAGTCAGGAGTTGAAGACCAGCCTGACCAACATGGAGAAATGATGTCTCCATTAAAAATACAAAAATTAGCTGGGTGTGGTGGTGCCTGTAATACCAGCTACTAGGGAGGATGAGGCATGAGAATCACTTGAACCCTGGAGTCGTAGGTTGCAGTGAACGGAGATCGCGCCACTGCACTCCAGCATGGGCAACAGATCAAGACTCTGTTTCAAAAATAAATAAATAAAAATAAAACGAGGCTATCAGCATGGAACCTAATTTAATCTGACTGGTTTCTATAAAAAGAGGAAGTCTGGGCACTTAAAGAGACACAAGAGATGGGCATGCGCAGAGGAAAGACCATAAGAATAGAGAGAAGGTGGTCGTCTGCAAGCCTAGGAGAGAGGCCTCGGGAGAGACAGCCCTGCCAGCACCTTGATCTTGGACGTTTCACCTCCAGAACTGTGGGAAATAAATTTCTGTTATTTAAACCAGTCGGTGTGTGGTATTTTGTTACAGTAGCCTTAGCAAACTTATAAACGAATAAAATATTTTGATCGAACCCATTCAAAATTGCAAGCAAGTAGACTACTTAGGAGGCTGTTACAGCTGTCAATCAAACAAAATGAGGATTGCCCTATTTGAGTACTGATTATCCGTGAGTATCGCATGTAGATTTGTGAGCAATTAGGTTTGGAGGTTATAGAGTTGGATTTTGAGTCTATGAAAAAAGAAAGAAATGAAATTAAGTTGATACCCAAGTTTATACGGGTACCAATCGTTGGAGTAAGGAAAACGAAAAATAGTTTGGAGGGTTTCCACGGAGATAATGAGTCCTGTTTCATCTTTGTGGAATACTGAGCATACAAGAAGAGATGTCCAGAGTGCATTTGTCACTCAAATCTTAATAATGCGATCCAGACTTGGATGTATCCACAAAGATGATGGTCATTAGGGACAGGAGATGATTTTTGAGGGAAAAATGTAGAGTGAAAAGGAGTAAAGCCCCAAGACAGAATAATAATTTTTTTAAAAGAGCGGTATTTAAGATACAGGCAGAGGACAGAAAACCCACTAGCAGGAGTGTAAAGGAAAAATCAGGCAGGGGAATTAAATAAAGTAGAATGCAGAATGATGCATTTCAAAGAGAAAATATTTTAAGAACCTACAGGTGCTATAGACAGGTTAGGTTTTTAAGAGTACAAGTGACCATTAGATTTAACAGCATCGTGGAACCCAAACGTGAGTTTGCTGATGGTTGTGACAATGGAGAGACAAGGGCAAGAGGCAGAAGAGGGGAAAGCAGATGGCATTGGATCTGGACATGGTAGGGAGCTAGAGGAGGCAAGAGAGGCTTCAGAGGGGAATGTAGATCTGATGCCTCTGAAGAGAGAGAAGGAGGGAAGAAGGTCAATTTGAGTAGAGCAACCTGTAACTGCAGTGCTGTTGTAGGAACGTCTAGGTGAGGCCTAACCAGTTCTCCATGCCCACTAGACCATCCTAGAGCCAGAGTTGCCCACTGGGGGAATCCTACATCCTGCGGACATGAGTTTCCATTAGTTCCCAGCTGTGTGCAAGCACAGGCTGAGGGCAGCAAGGGAAGGTGTGAAGTTGGTGCCGATGAGGGGTGGACCCCAATAAGCAGCAGCTGGATTGCCAGTCAGTTACATCCCCTGCAACAGGACGATGTCTCAGCAGCTCTTCTGGGACCACTGAGCCATTGCACATGAAGATGTTGAAGATACAGAACCCAAAAGAATCAACAGAGAACAGTCCTCGCAAATGTGTGAGATGGTATGTGGAGTATTACACACGCAGAGTACTGGTTTAGGCCAAGATGAGGAAGGCTTCTCACTCTGAAATCAATATTTCTTTTTTTGAGAGGTGATGGTAAATCAACTTTAGTGAGTGGTCTCTCTTGTGGTACATAAATAACCCGTGGGCTGCCAGATACAGTTTTTGATGTTTTATAACAATACTAGAGTACCTCATGTTTCTGCATCATCTATTACTTTGTCAATATACTGAAATTCACAAAAGGGAGCTGTTACTGCTAACTTTTGAATTTCCTGTGATCTTAAAGGTTACCATCACATAGGTTTTTAGATTTAGCAATTTAAAATATTTTTCAATGACCTAACATAATGCACTTAATTTGGTTGTTTGCTATGAATTTCTAGACTGTTACATTCTGCAGGTGAATGAAAAAGGAATTGATTATTTTAGCGTTGTTGTAAGTGTTAAATTTATTAAAAATAGTAACTCACATCAGAGGACTGATTCAGTTATACTCACAGTTCTTTCATATGAATATCTACATTAAAAAGTTATATTCTATATATATTAGACATTTTTTGCAAAAGAAAAGCTGGATATAACATCAAGTTGTAGAAAATTAATTTTAACATGGAGGTCTGATTTTATCATTATATTCCATTTTTTAATAAAGATGGAAAAAGTAAAGTGATTTGTTGGTACACATGAGTGAAGAAATTCATACTTAACTATTCCTGCTTATATAAGAAATAATATATACAAGAAACAAGATACTGTAGAATGACGGATTCACACACAAGAGGTGGAGAGTTCTGGGTTGAACAATCCAGTTATACTATGATCTTAGGCAAGAAATTTTGACTTTTCCAAGTCTCAGTTTTATCATATGTAAAAAAGGAAAAAAATACCAAACAATTATTCTCTATTTTCTAGTGGCATTGTTGCTATTGTTAAATAAATTAGGTAGTTGTGCCTTTGTAAGTCTAAAGGAGATCTAAAGGAGATGGGTTGGGTTTTTGACATTTATAATTATGCCTTACTCAATTTTGAGGACAGTTTTATAGATACTTTCAAATTCTCAAGTAGTCCTTGAGAGTTTGGAGTCATTGCTTCAAGTTAAAAGGGAAGCAGGCTAACATTTCTTAAGGATCTACAACATGTCCCTAAATTGAAAAGCCATGCCCTATTTAATTTTCACAATACCCCTAAGAGGAAAATATTATCACCCCCCCTTTTTGATAAGGATACTTTTTCATGTTTTGTTTTGTTCTGTTCTTGGAAACATGTCCAAGGTCTCACAGCAAGCAAATAAAAAGTCTAGACTTCATCCTAGATCTTCTAATGCCAAGTACAATGATCTATTTAAAAATAAAATTCAGAAGCCATATGAAAATGACCATTTCCTTTTAGATTTTTTTTTTTTTTCTTTCCTACTATTAATGGATCAAGTCTGAATCATTTCAGTGCCCATGGTATATACTTAATATTTGTTTCTGGAGTATATTTGCACATATGAGAATATGTGTGCTACATGAGCGTATATAGTCACATAACAAGACTATATGTATCTCTTCCCATTTGATACCTCTCAGAGACATGCATAGTGTTGATTTACATAATTCAAAAAAATAAAATTTATAAAAAGAAAAAGATGGCTGTTACGGAGAATTGGAGATTTTAACATTTGAAAAGCAGTAACGGATCAGGTGAAAATATGCAATTTATCATTATATTTATACAGCTCAGAATTCCCTCTCAGTAGTCATGAGTGTATATTCACATTGTTCTGAGCAGCACCAACCACTAAACAGTGAAAGCACTTTGCATCATTTAGCACTTTGTACTTTCAAAATCCTTTGTAATCACTTTATTATTTATATCAGATGAGACCTATACATATTAAAAAATAGCAGTCTAGAGTTTTGATTGCCTTCTCTAATCCATTAATGCCTATGCTTATAAGATGGAATGCAACAGAGGGTATTTATGGAATTTAAAAATTAACTCATTTAGTAGAACCCGTTCCAATGGTGCAACTTCCCTTTGAAAATAAACTATACATCCATGTGGAAGGCATTTACCCTCTCCGAGCCACAGGGACCTGTTTTTAGACACTGACGTGTGATTCACACAACTCATCGTATGTCTACAGAGACCTGGAATGAACCGCCACATGACTGTGGAAAGAGGTGTTTGTGACTTTTGCACACTTGAATGGATGCAGTGAGCGATATATTAAATTCTCCTGTTGACATGTGAATGATTAGAACTTAGAGAAACTCTCAGTTTAAAAATCCAAACCATTAGAGATAATGCAACTGCATAGATATGACCAATATCTAGCTCTGAGGGAACTGATCTCAACCTTGGGAAATGGAACGGAACTTCTCTAGAGGCTGTTTACTGCCGGGACCTGGTGACTTTTAACAAATCTCCATTCACTTCCTGTTTGACTGAGAAACATTGAGTTTGTTCTCAAAGGTCTCATGATTTCAGAGGGCTTCTCTGGGCGCTGCTTAGGGCATATATTTGGAAACAAAGCAATAATGAGAACAATTCTATTTCTAGACTAAACAGATCCACAGATGCGTTTTTCTCTCTTCATATTCCAATTAGCAGCTAGACAAATGAAGTACTTTTTAATTAGGAGTAAAGGAGTTTCTATATCTGAGTAACTCCAGAATACATCTGGAATCTCAAAGTTCTACCAAAAAAATGTTCAAGAAGAAAGACTTATATATATTTATATTATTACTTTTATAATTCGTGGTGTGATGGTTAAATTTATGTGTCAACTTGGCTAGGCTCTGGTGTCCAGGTTTGGGGTTAAACATCAGTTCAGATGTTGCTGTGAAGCTGCTTCTTAGATGTCATTAATGTAAATTAGTAGACTGGGAGTCAAGTAGATTACCTTCCAACGTGTGGGTGGACCTCTCAATCAGTTGAAAGCCTTAAGAAAAAAACTGAGGCCCTTGAAGAGAAAGAAATTCTATCCCTACCGTGACTTTGAGCATCAACTGCTGCAGGGATTCTTAGTGTCCCAGCCTGCCTGGGAAATTTTGAACAAGCCTCCCCATAACATACCCTCTCTCCTCTCTTTCTCTCTCTCTCTCTCTCTCTCTCTGTTGGCTCTGTTTATCTGGAGAATCCTGGCTGATATGAGTGGGATATGATTCTGGAAAGTAAAAAACACATGCTTATGGATTGGAGACATCTTCACTTCCTAATACATGTACAAACACCTCAGCTCTTCCAGAAAATAATTTAGCTTTAGTGCAAAATGGTCACTTGACATCATATTGAGATAATATTGTACTTCAGGTACAAATTGTTTAAATGTATGCAATAACAAAAATAGTGAATAAATTGTACTTATGTCCAAACTTCAAAAGATACATTTATATGTCTGAAATTCTGAGAAAATTTTTCTAAATATGACCCAAATTGACCAATATGAATAATACACCCATATCATCCTGAATACACTCTTCTGATACCTCATCCCAAAGAACGGCAAACAAGTAGAACATGTACTGGCAGAGTCTTCCCAACCTGCCCTCCTTTGCAGGAAGAACGATGAGCTACGTACGGGCAGAGGGAATCATTTATTTTTGAAAGATGTTTGCCATGAGTCATCAGGGGCCTTCATAAGCAGAAACCTGCCAGGCTATGAGCATAGACCATTGGAAATCAACCTAAGCTTGGAAGTGTTTGAATCCTACTGGATTCAGTAGGCAAAACATTGGGAAGACTAAAGACTGGGAACATCCTGACTTCAAATTAGAATAAATAGAAAATGGGAAAGCAGAGCGCACAGAAACAAAAATAAAAATGAATTAACATATGCAGAGGGAAACTATGTCTCATCTAGGTATTTGCTTACTGCTCACCTCCCCTTTCCCCAGATTGCTACACCCTGGCACACCCACTAACGAACCATCTACAAAATGTCATTGAGTTTGCTCTGTGCTTGTCATTGTGCTAGAAGCCAAGGGTGCAACTCCCTAAGCGCTGTGAGAGAGCGCTGTGCAGCGCTATAAAGTGTGTCATAGAAATCCCAAGGGAGTGGAGAGGCCAGTTAATGTTTCTTATAAGATGTGATGAATAATGAATACGTGCATCTTGGTGACTATAGTTAATAACAACGCATTGTATTCTTGAAAATTGCTAAGTGATTAGATTTTATGTGTTCTCATCATAAATAAATAGTGAGTATGTGAGGTACTGCACATGTTATTAGCTTAATCAAGCCATTCCGCTGGGTGTATGTATGTGTACATATATATATATATATATGTACACATACACACACATATACACACACACATATATATACGCACATATATACACGCACATATATACACACATATATACACACACACACATATATATGGACACACATATATATACACACACACATATATATATATCAACCACCTCCATCTCCAAGGCAACAGCATATATATATAGGTACACACACATATATATCATGTATATACATATATACACACACATATATATCAAAATATGTTGTGCATGAGAAACATATACAATTTTTATTTGTCAAATAAACAAAATCTGAAAAGAGATGCAATGAATAATGAATTGAGAGGTAAAGGGAGCTTGCAGTGTTTATCTAAGTGGGTTAGAGGGAACGATCGTTCTGGAGAAAGGATACAACATGCACAAATGCCTGTAACAGGAGAACAGAGATTTAAATAGCAAACGGCTGTGGCTGGAGCCCAGGCAGGGTCATGTGGTAGTAGGGAAGGTTCTGCAGCCACTGGGGCCATGTCCCACAGAGCCTTAGGGACATGCTGAAGAGTTTGGCTTTATTTCAGGAGTTGCTTGCAGGACACACAGACGTTCTAAACGGGGGACAAAAATACTGGATTTGAGTTTGCAAAACGTTACTTGAGTTGCATTGTGAAAAATGAAATGTAAAGGGCAAGAGAAAAGTTGAAAAACAGGAGGATATTTCAGCAGCTCACACAGCATTGCTGTTGCCTTGGAGAAAGAGGTGGTGGAGGGTGAGGACAGTGTGTGGATGTCAGACTTTTGGCAGGTCTAGTTCAGTGGATTTCAGGGCAGGTGACGTGCACAGCAGGGGATTCCCCAAGGGAAGGAGAAGAAGGTGCCAGGGCTGACACTTTGGTTTCTTATTGGAACAACAGGATGGATGTATTAGTCCATTTTCATACTGCTATGAAGAAATACCCAAGACTGGGTAATTTATTTAAAAAAAGAGATGTAAGGAACTCACAGTTCTGCATGGCTGGGGAGTCCTCACAATCATGGCGGAAGGAGAGAAAGGAACAAAGGCATGTGTTAGACGGCAGCCGGTAAGAGAGTGTGTGCAGCGGAGCTGTTCTTTATAAATCTCGTGAGAGTTATTCACTAGCATGAGAACAGCATGAGAAAAACCTGCCTCCAGAATTCAATTACCTCCCACCAGGTCCCTCCCACGACACGTGGAGATTATGGGAGCTATAATTCAAGATGAGATTTAGGTGCAGACACAGCCAAATCATATTAGTGGATGATGCTGCCTTTTCCTGAAATATGTAAAACCTGGAAGAGGCCAGGGGAGAACGAGTTAAGTTTTGTAATTGCTGAACTCTTGATGCATCCAAAGAGAAGATATAAATGAAGCAGTTAGATATACTGGAGTAAAATGTAGGACTTAGCTGTAAACATTAGAGTTGTTTATACTCCGAAGCAATGGGCTAGTTGAGGTTTCTCAGGATGATCACACAGAGTAAGAAGAATGCCTTGGGAATGAGACCTGAAGAAACGTCATTTTTAAATACTTGCAACATGAACAATGAAGGAGTGATCCAAAAAATGAAAATGAAAAGAAGCAAGGAGCATGTTAGGCAAAAGAAACCAAGATCAAATCCAAGAAAAAAGAGAGATCAATGTTGAAAAATTATGGGAAGTTTCAAGTACAATAGTCATTTTTAATTGGCTATTGTATTTCCCAGAATAACTGTCACAGATGAATTTAGCCAGAGCTGTTTGGTAGGAATGGTGCAGGCAGGAACTGTAGTTGGAAAAGGTTGAGGAGTGGTGGATGAAAAGTGTGTAGGTCAGGTGTAGTGGCTCACACCTGTAATCCCAGCACTTTGGGAGGCCAAGGTGGGTGGTGGACAAATCAGTTGAGGTCAGGAGTTCGAAACCAGCCTGGCCAACATAGTAAAATCCTGTCTCTACTAAAAATACAAAAATTTGCGGTTGTGGTGGCCTGCGTTTGTAGTTCCAGCTATTTGGGAGGCTTGAACCCAGGAAGCGGAGGTTGCAGTGACCCGAGATCACGCCACTGCGCTCCAGCCTGGGCAACAGAGCAAGACTCTGTCTCAAAAAAGTAAAACAAACAAAACCAAGAAAGTGTGTAGACAACACTTGTATAAAGTCTGTGTGGTAGTTGGGAGATTAAAGAGCGTGTGTGTGTGTATGTGTGTGTCTGTGTGTGTGTGTTCACAAACTTGTATATAAACTTGTATGTTTACAAGTGCATTGCTTCTTACCCTTATTCTTACCCTTAGCATCACGTTCTACAGTTCCATCCATGTTGTCCCAAATGACAAAATTTCTTTTTTATGTCTGAATAGTTATCTATTGTGTATATGCACCACATTTTCATTATTCATTTATCTGTTGATGGACACTTAGATTGATTCCATAACTTGGATGTTACGACTAGCACTGCAATGAACTTAAGAGTGCAGATACCTCCTCGACATATTGATTTCAAATTTTTGGAGTAAATGCCCGGAAGTGGGATTGCTGGGTCGCATTCTCACTTATATTTGGACCCTAAAACAATTGAACTCAAAGAAGCAGAGAGTAGAATGGTGTTTACCAGAAGCTGGGGGGTGAGAGAAATGGGGAGATGATGGTCAAAGGGTACAAAGCATCAATTAGGAAGAATACATTGTTTTCTTTGAGCTATATTGGATAGGGTGGTGAATATAATAAATAATAATGCAAGTAATAAATTACTGAGAGTAAATTTCGAATGTTGTCAGTACAATAACTGATAAGTATTTGAGGTGATACTATTCCATGTTGTATTTATAAATCATAAAATCACATGTAAAAGCACTCGATATCCCATAAAATATACATCTATAACCAGTCAATTTACAATTAAAAATGCTTAAGGGCAAGAGATACATATTTGGCAGAACTTTATATGATCAGGGATTAAAACAAATATTCAATTAGAGCTAAATGGTACTACAATTAAAAAGAGCTCCTAAGTAAAATCAACACAGGCATAAAACATCTCAGCCGTATGAACTGATAGGTTACGCCTCAAATCATTCGGCGACGTTCGTTTGTTTTTAAATATGCATTATCTTATGTAAATGTTCAATTAAAGTATTATATATGCTTATATGTGTGTACAGATACATATAGAGGAGGTGACAGAGAGAAGGAAAATGCAGATATCATAAATAAAAATCATTATTTTTTACAAAGTGAACATGACCACAAAACATACAAAACAATATTAAACATCAGTAGCCTCTGCCCATACCCTCTGGTGTGATATGGTGGCTGTGCACAACCTTAGTCACTACAGAATAACAAAGGGTATATGCGTGCCCTCTGAATATTACACATCCAAGGGCAACTGCTGTCATGATTGCTAAAACCATAGATTTGTGTTGTTTTAATTATACGAATGGAAGCACACAGTATGTCTTCTTCAGTGTCTACCTTCTTTCACTCGACAATATAGTTCTGAGATCCATTTACTTGGCTGCATGTAATTGGAATTTATTTATTCTCATTGCAGTATAATATCGATTGTATGAATACACCAAAGGTGTTTAAAAAATCTTTTCTTCTGTTGGTGGACATTTGAGTGGTATGTCAAATAGTCCAAATAATGCCACTGTGAAGATTATTGTACATGTGTTTTCATGAATATATGCGCGTATTTCAAGATGTGGAATTTCCAGGCCATAGAGAATGTGATCATCAGGATTCATAGATGGGGCCTATTGTAAAATCTGCACTCAATTTGTAGTAATGTATTAGGCTTGCAATCAGTTCACATTCCCACCAATATTCAACTTTTGTCAATCTCTTTAGCTGTCCCTAGTGTCTCTCACTGAGACTATAACCATCTCATCAGTAGTGGGTAAGTAAGTACATATCAACAAAATCTGTGTAATTATGAAAGCAGGAAATATAGGATTTATGAAGCATATCAGGAACATATTTTAACAAATTTATATTAAAATATTTTTAAGAGACAATCTGCTATTTACTTTTAAATGTTGTAAGTGTTTACATTTTATTCAACAATCAACGGAAAATGAAATGAGAAGATCACAAACTGCGGTAAAAAGAGATCTGAGTGAGAGAAAAGTAAGATCAAAAGGGAGCTTTCCAAAAAAAAAAAAAAATACGGAAAATGTGGCGCAATAGGAAATTACCGTTGCAATGGAATCAGTAAATCACATTCAAATCACTGAGAGTGCAAACTCGAGAAGTACTTCAAAATTTTGCCTAAAATTGAAGAAGAGCTGAAATTGAATTTGAAGACAACGTTATATCAGGAATGCAAAGGATAAGGAGCGATTCAACATAAACATAGAGCACTGGTTTTCCCAAAGCCTGGAACCTACTTCCAAATATTTAGCTCAGATTTTTGTAAGCTGGAATGTAATTAATGATATAATTGATATATAGTGTAAAGAAATTAAACCAATCTTCCCATGAAACAACAATATTAAATACAGAAAAACATCCTAGTTCCAGACATTAATGCGTATTTGAATTTTTCCTCCAAACTCTGTACTGGAGATACATGATTAATATATAAAATATCATTTTTATGACTACTGAAAATCTAGGTAGAGGTCTTACCTACATTCCACAACCACTAAGAAATAATAGCAGGAAATTTAGAGCATAAACTAAAGTGCAGGAGAAGTCTGACTACTAAAATTCACTCACAGGAAGAGCATGTCACATGATTCCATCCAACTGGAAACCTGTTGGCAACTCTGAGTTAGTCTGGACAATGGTCCTCAAGTCTCTGAAGAAGCCCCAGACTTTTTAGAGAACAGAGAAGTTGCTGTGTGACTCATCTACCATCACAGGGTGCAGGTGCAGGAGGAGAATTGCCTGGAAGGCAGAGCTGCCACAAGTTGGAAATCAAGTCTCTGTCCCTGTTGGCTCAGATAAGGCTGGTTGTTCCTGAATAAGGAGATGCTGCCTGCAACAAAGCATCACTCCTCTGTCTCTTTTCCTCTTTGAAAGTAAAAAATTTTAGATATACAGGGTCACAAAAATAGGCAAAAATAAAATTGCCTTTTTAAGAAGTTTATTTTCTCATTAGGTTTGGACTAGAGTCACCTACACGGCTCTCTGGGGTACACTCTACCTTATAATATTGTTAAAAGAACAGTTGTCACCAAACTATTGAAAAAACATGACAAAACTGAGGCTCTTAATACTAAAAACTGGAGACACTGAAACAGAGTAACTCTGGGAATTAGTAGAATTGTTTTTAATATCAGTTTTTCTCAACAATAATCAAAAGAATATTCTGTCAAAAATAGCATGAGCCTGCTGTCATAAAATACGATCAGGCTGTTAAGTTTTCTAGAATTGAAAAATATCATTGGTGGTCTATGAAAAATATCAGGGGAGATACTGAATATTAGAAGGAGTAAGGCTTACCATTAAAATGGTGAATTACAAGTTAGGCTTGAAGTATACACCTTGCAATCACAACACAGAGCAAAGATAAGCGGATGCATGTATGGAGAGAGAGGAGCTAAAGTAAGAGACAGAGGGAGAGAGAGAGAGAGAAACTGATGGTAAAAACTATAATGCAAGAGTTTATTTCTTTAATACATGCATGTAATAAGACAAATGTGTGATAATGTAGAAATAAGCAACCGTAGAAATGAAGGCAGTAAACACATGTAGAAATATTTATATTGGGAATACATTTCATATACATTTATGCTGTCGATGAAGTTACTCCAGTAGTTTCCCAATAGGTTTGAAGATCAAATTCTTAGAAGCAGTCTTAGAAAAAATTTTTTTATTATTTTTTAACTCTCTAAAGCCAGGATTCCAAATGGTGTGCTAAGGTATCCCCGCGCATCCCCGGGAACTCAGAGGAACGTGGTGGAACATACTTTACATTCTCACAGGTAGCTCAGTGACGCCCAACCTCTGTTGAAGCCCATTCTGACGGGTAGGTCAACTTTGATAATAACTTCAGCATTGGAGGAGGATACATTCCTTCTCATGACATCAGAACTTTCCAAAGCTGAGCTTTTGGGTCGTTGCTGTGATAACAAATAAAGAACTCCAAGAGGGCCGGGCGCGGTGGCTCATGCCTGCAATCCCAGCACTTTGGGAGGCCAAGACGGGTGGATCACCAGGTCAGGAGATCGAGACCATCCTGGCCAACACGGTGAAACCCCGTCTCTATTAAAAATACAAAAAATTAGCCGCCCGTGGTGGCGGGTGCCTGTAGTCCCAGCTACTCTGGAGGCTGGGTCAGGAGAATGGCGTGAACCCGGGAGGCGGAGCTTGCGGTGAGCCGAGATCGCCCACTGCACTCCAGCCTGGGGCGACAGAGCAAGACCCCAACTAAAAAAAAAAAAAAAAAAAAAAAAACTCCACGAAAGTTCTTGATGAACAGCAACTACAAGTGATCATCTCCAATCTCATTTCAGGTGTTGAGCCCCAAAGTCGTTCATACCCCATTAGTAAAAATTGTAGTTATTTAAGAATAACCAACAAAATTTATTTAAATTTTTGTACACTATTGTATTTTATTTTTCAATACAACTATTCAGTTTTAGTACGTCAATATTAAAGTGCTTTGGAATTGGTTATTGATAAACAGAATTGTTATATATTTACGTTGACCTAGGGTGACTGTGAAAAAAAATTACCAGATATTAAAGGATCATTGAACTGAAAAAGTCTGAGAACATTTGCTCTGGAACATAGATGAAGTTAAGAATTTTTCAGTATCAATTTACAAGGCTAAAGCATCTCTGATACCGAAACCTGATAAAGCATATTAAGAAAAAAACCCACAGATCAATAACATTTTGAAAGGAGATGCTAATGTCCAGATAAAATTGCAAGTTGTATTTTGCACTGTATTAAAAAGCTATATATATCTGACAACGTAAAATTCATTACAGAAATAAATGAGAAATCTTCTGTACTAATATTTCTCACACTTGGAATACTAGTTCTTAGAACATTTTACCACAATAGTACTCCAAATAAGTTGAAATCTGCCTTCTCTACCAGTTTCTTCAGGCTATATGCACACACACACACACACACACACACACACATATATATATATATTTATACACACACACATATACACACACATATATACACACACACGTATACCTACACACGCATATATACATATATACATATTAGACTACATATTAGAATACTAAAAGTAATCTGTTATAAAGAAACTTTTAAAATTTATTCAATTCTCCATTTTATTTCAAACAATTTTCATCAGGTATCTACCATACTAGTAAAGATGAAATCAGAAAATCTTTGTCATTTCTACCCCATCTTTCTTCTTTCTCAAGGTGAAACTAGGTGTCTGTTCTGTGGTTGGCCATGAAAGTGTTGATGTGTGACTTAGGACTCCTTCACTTCTGGGAATGAAACAAAACTGGAACAAGGCAGTTCGCACACTGGGAAGAGCTCGTTTGAGCAGCTATCAAGGTGGCTAAAAGCAGTGGTCAGAGGACACTGTCATCTTTCTGACTCCAGGTACTCCTTTCAACTGTTTCTTTAGGTGCGGGCCTTGGTGTTCCCACAAAGCATGGACGATGCCCGTTGGTGCCCCAGAACCTCATCCATTCAAGGCTGCAGATGCAGGACAAAGGCACTTTCTCAGTGAACACCCTTGGGAATGATTGTGACTTCCCTCACTTACTAGGACAGGTTCCCCGAGTCACAGGTATTTCAGTGTCTACCACTCCTTTTGTGTCTGTGTCTGGGAATGAAGGTTGAGGATTGGTGTTCTGTTTTCCTAAGAGGGAGAGTGAAGGGAAATATATAAACCAGTAATAAAAATCAACACACAAAATGTACCTTTCACAAACGGTGAGAACCGTTGCATGTTTGCAAAATTTTTGTTTTAAAATATTTAATGGACAAATAAAAATTTTACATACAACATGATGATTTGATATATGTA
Organism: Homo sapiens; assembly: GCF_000001405.40. NCBI lineage: Eukaryota > Metazoa > Chordata > Mammalia > Primates > Hominidae > Homo > Homo sapiens. Next base: position 5,308,596 of record NC_000008.11, read on the forward strand.
TGCATTGCATATTGATTATTACCATCATATTAATTAACAAATCCATCACCACCTACGGTTGCCATCTGTATGTGGGGAAGTGAGGACTCTTAAAATCTGCTCTTATCAAATTTCAAATATGCACTGCAATGTTAGTGACTATAATTACCCTACTATTTATTATATCTCCAGAAGTTATTCGTTTTATATATAAGTAAACGTTTGTACCTTTTGTCCAATATCTCTCCAATTACCCTTCCCACCAGCCCCTAGCCACCACTATTCTACTCTACTCCTGTAAGTTCAACTTGCTTTTGATTTTACACATAAGTGAGATTACACAGTATGTGTCTTTCTTTGTCTGGCTTATTTCACTTAGCATAATGCCCTCAAGCTTCATCCCTGTTGTTGTAACAGGAGCTCCTTCTTTTTTAAGGTGAATAGTATTCCACTGGGAATGTGAGTTTTACTTATATGTCAAATTTTCTTCATCCTTTCATCCCTCAAGGGGCATTTAGATTGTTTCTACCTCTTGGCTATTAGAATAACACTGTAATGAACATAAGTGTGAAGATATCTCTTCAACATACTGGTTCTATTTTCTTTGGACATATACCCTGAAGCAAGACTGCTGGATAATGTTCTATTTTTAATTTTGGGGGATACTTTCACGCTGTTTTTCATAATGGCTGTACGAGTTTACGTTCCCACCAACAGTGTACAGGGCTGCCTATTGCCCACATCTTGCCAACATTTGTTTTCTTTTATCTTGTTGGTAATACCCATCCTAGGTGAGAGGTGATATCTCACTGGGGAGATGCTTTTGTTTGAGTAATTGTGTTGAATTAGCACATCAGCATTTTGTAAAGTGATATTGTTATATTTGACTTTAAGGGTTTGCTATTATATTTGAAATTTGTGAAGATGGGACCAGTGCTAAGATATATAATTACTATTAATTCTGTGAACCAAACAAACTCAACAACATATCTTTTTGCTATGGATTATTTTCAATCAAGTTAGTAAGCTCCATAATTCTCTGTTGTGTTTTTAATTGAGATTACATCAATAATCTAGATTGATACATAAAAAATTGATGTCTTTGCAATTCCTTTTCTCTTCCAACAACTTGATATGCCTGTTCCTTCCTTTCATCAGGTACTTATGATTTTCAGTAATGTTACATGTTTGGGGTGGTTATGAATAAAATATTTTTCTATCACATTTCCAAATTAGGTACTACTTATTTTTAAGAAGTCATGAATGTCTTCAGCTTTTTTTTAAATGTGAGTACCTCAATTCAAATCTCATGTTCGTTCTAATCCTTCTCCTGTTGATTATCTTGGATGTTCTGGGAAGATATATGTATCATTTATAGGTAAAACAGATTTGTTATTATTTTCCATTACATACATCTCATGACTTTTTCTAGTTTTTTACATTTTCTTATTTCCCTAATACAACAAATAGATGCTAATCTTTCAATTAAATGAGAATTTTATCTGTTCTATTACTAAATATATATTTACAGCAAATTGGTAATACATACCCCTTACCAAGTTAAATAAGCTCTGCAGTCTTAGCGTGGAAAGTTTTTTTTTTAAATTATAAACAAATACTTAATTTAACCAAAGCTGTGTCATTTATTAAATAAGGGAAACACAAGCAGAATCAAATAGACAACATTCAAATAATATTTTGCACTGGTGCTTAGCATTACGATTAGTCTATATGTTGCCTAGTTTGGACATCCAGGTTTCTGGATCAGCAGCATCATCATCACCTGGGAACTTGTTAGAAATAAGAAATCATTAGGTCTCTTTCAGAATACTTGATGAGACATAATGAGTTGGTGCCAGCGATCTGAGATTTTGCAAGCCCAGTAGGTGACTCAGATGTACACTCAATTTTCAGAGCCACAGCAGTAGCTTCTCAAAATGAGTCGAGTAACGGTGAGTTTATAAAATATAGAACTTATCTGATCCTTGAAGTTTAGTAAGAAAACATCCATGAAATAATATTGGCCTGGTCATTTCAGAAAAAATATTGACTTTTCAAAACTTATCTTTGGAATCATTGTTCTAAAAAAAATAACTTTTTTGGTTGATATGATAATTTGGATATTTCTGAAACAGCAATCATTTATTTTTCACATTTACTGGCATAAATTTGTAGTGTATTCATTTATAATGTTTATCCCCTTCAGACATCTCATTACAAATTTTCTCATTCCTTCTGTATTTCAATCCTTTTTCTTTCACTTTTTTCCTTACATATACTGGCCAAAATGTTGTTACCTTTATTGATATTTATAGTAATAAATTTTAGTTTTATTCAACACACTGATGTTTTGTTGGCTTTGTTTCTATCTTATTTATTAATAATGTAATTTGTATTTTTATTATTCTTACCCTTTGAATGAATTTTTCCGTTATCACTCCTTTGTCCTTTTTGAATGGAACAGTAACATTAAATTGGATTTTCGTCCTTGTGTTCCAGGACATAGACTATAAGTTATGAATTTGATCTAATTGATTCTTTGCCCACATCAGCATATGATGTGATGTTGTAAGTATGATACTTTTTTGTTGTTACTCTCAGTTTTAATTTCAATTAAGCTCAAGTAATATAGTGGTATGGATTTGATTTTGAAGTCTCCCAAGTGGAAATTACCTAGCTTTGTAAATTAATATTGTTTGGAAAACAGCATATGTGGTTTCTAATTGTTAATATTGATTAATTATAAGATTATTGTGTCAACATTGGGTCAACATGTGCAAATCGTCCTTGGATATTTTATCTGTTGAGAAGTTAACCATGTGCAGTGTGTGTATATGTGTATGTGTATAGATATGTAGATAAAGATATATAGGCATGTACTACATTATTCAGTTTATTAGTTATTTCAATCCTGTCTATATAATCTAATTTGGGCAAGTAGTATTTGAGTAAGTAGTAACAGTTTCCTACTATTGGAAGGAAAAGTTTTCAAATCAGCCAACCATAGTGAAAATCAATTTAGAATAATTTTTACTTTAGGTATGAAGGTATAATTCAAAACACTAGGGTGCACATACATATTTTTTTATTTTAATCAAAATTCATTTACTCCAAGCCCTGTAACTTCCTAGCTAGCTGGACATCAAAACTCAGTAATTGTATTTTTTGTGGTAAATATAACACAGAATGTGAAATTTACCCTCTTAAAAATTTTTGAAGTGTTGAATACATATTGTTAACTATATACATATTCTTGTATATCACATCTATAAAGCTTTTCCATCTTTCCTTACTAAAACGCTATGCTTACTGAACAGCAACTTTCCATTTCACTTTTCCTTGCCACCCCGCCCCCGGCTACCACCATTCTGCTTCCTGTTTCCATGATTTGGACGATTTAAGTTACCTCATGTGAGTGGAATCATGCCATGTTTGTACTTTTGTTCTCAAAATACAGCAATGTTAGCATAAGACAGAATTTTCTTTTTTTAAGGTAGAATAATATTTCATTGCATGAATGTACCATATTTTTCTAAATCTATTCATCCATCAGTGAACATTTAGGTTATTTCCACCTCTTGGCTATTGTGAATAACGCTGCAATGATCATGGGAGGGCAACTACGTCTTTGATATTCTGATTTCGGTTCTTTGGGATAAATACCTAGGAGTAGAATTGCTGCACCGTAGGGGAGCTCTTTTTATAATTTTCTGAGGAGCGTCTATGCTGTTTTTCAGAGAAGCTGCACCATTTTATATTCCTACTAGCAGTGCACAAAGATCGCAATTTCTTCACATCCTTGCCAATATTTGCTATTTCCCTGGTTGTTTTGTTTTTTCTTGTTGTTGTTGTTGTTTGTTTTATAATGGCCATCCTCACAGGTGTGAGGTGATACGTCATTATGATTTTGATTTGCATTTACCGCAGGATTAGTGATGTTCAACATCCTTTCATACACCTTTTGGCCAGTTGTATGTCTTCAGGTTATTTGAGTTTTTGCTATTGCATTGCAGGAGCTTCTTATACATTTTGGATATTAACCCCTTATCAGACAGAGGTTTTTCAAATTTGAACTGAATTACCCCTTCTGTTTTCCTTTTATGTTCCTGGAATTACGCACAACTTCTCAAAGCACAATCAATGTGCCATGTTGTTTGCGGCAAATCCCAAGTACGGGGCTACTGAATGTGCCGGGCCTCGTAGTCCCAGTAGCAAACTCTTTACCTGCATTATGTTTATTTCGTTAGCGTTTTGAGTATTTTTCTGTGTTACAGGATACAGAGTCACATTCTGGTTTGCTAGACCTCAACATGGAGATATAAAAGTGAATCTATTTCTACTGCTCTTCCCTGTATTTTGTACTCTCTTGAATCACATACGGGGACATTCTCTACATGCTCTCTAGCACACCAATGTGGCGGGCTCCATGCCCATCTCACTCCATTTGGGCCTGAAAACGTCTTCTTCCAATTAACTTTCAATTCTTTACATCTACCTAACTTACTCATCCTTTCTTTGACTGCTTGATATTTTACAACTTCTATATTAAATAGGTTTCTCTAGAGAAACACAACATATCGTGAGAAAGACAGTAGGGATGACAAGGGAATAAGCGAAACGTGTCAAACACACTATTTGGGGAATATGGCTGAGGTTATGTAGGAATTTTTGTGCCTTTTTAAAATAATTTTTTTCACCTGAATTTACTTCAAAATAGAAAGCTAAGAGAACAAATAAGCAGGGAAATATTCTCTCAACTGATAATCATGGCATTTCTAGATTTATCTTGTTGTAAATCTCACGAGTTCAAAAGCTTTTTCTTGTTGTTGTTGCTGCTGTTGTTAATTGTTGGATAGATAGTACATCAAAATAAATTTATTTATTTCTTTAGTACCTATTTATCTCTTTACTTTTTGAGACAGGGTCTCATGCCGTTCCTCAGGCTAGAGTGCAGTGATGAGATTCCAAGGCTCAAGCTGTCCTCCCACCTCAGCCTCCCAAGTAGCTAGGAACACAAGTGCATGCCACAACACCTGCTAGGTTTTGTATTGTTTAGTAGAAACAGGGTTTTGCCATGTTGCTGAGCCTGTTCTCAAACTCCTGAGCTCAAGCGATCCACTTGCCTTTGCCTCCCAAAAGTGCTGGGATTACAGGCATGAGCCACAGTGCCCAGCCAAGAAATTTATTTATAGGTATAACAATTATTGTTATTATACTACATAAAGTGATATGTTTTATAAAAATGTATGCCAGCAAGCCCCATTTTGCAAATAAGTTTCCTGCAATGCACACATCAGAAGTGTGAGCTCACAGAAGACAATTTATCACTGATTATACATGAAATATAGGAAATTAATATCAGTTGTTTCTTTCAGTGTTTATATGTGTATTTTTGACTTTTTGATAAAATATTCTATATTGCATACACTTTAAGTTTTCTCTAAAATTTAAATCATTATAAACAATAGTGAGAGAGAATTGCAGTCTTAACTATAATTTATTAGGGTATGACTATATTACCTAAGATGTAGTTAGGATGAAAATGAATGCAAACAGAATGTATAGGAGGATGTTTAATAAAATCATATGACTATATTTGATGTTAACATATAAACTATGTACAGCATGATGATTCTCCATTTCAACTCACAAAGAGAGGATGATTAAAGAAGATGAAAATATGCATCTTCACCATTTGATAGTGCATTAACCTAAAGTCCTCATTCTTTTATTTTAGCTCTCAGCAGATAATAATCATCAGTTCTCAGTTTCAAACTCTTGTTCCCTGGAAAAAAAACGCCCATTAAAGAAAAATGAAAACGCCTTGAAGCAGAATAGCTCAGAGATTCAAGGGTAACATTAGGGATTATAAAATAATTTCATTTACTTTCTTTATATCAACAATAATGCTGCATTTGCATGCCAGCATTTTCAAAGCTGATTCAATATGCTATCTTATTTGAAACTTCAATAAAACCCTGTGATTTTGTTAGGAGATATTGTTATTCTAATTATACTGATGAAGCAACAGATGAAACTGGGAGAGAAAAGTGGCTTTCTCAAATTAACAGAGCTAAATAAATGGAAGATACAAATACCAAAATATGAGAATCATCAACACGTTTATGGTATTTAGGTAATCCAAAAACGTTTTTAAATATCCATTATAAATTAATCATCAGTTGAATAAGATAGGTAGACATGGTTATGGCTATGGACATTAATACATAGATGTAAACAAAGATACGAGTATGGACATAAATATAATCAATGACAAAGTTCTTATAAAGAGAATCAATCCCCTTAGTGGATCCAGGTGTATGCAAAAATTCCCCTGATAGAACACAGTGGAAAAGTTTGCTGAATTTTAAATACATTGACAAAATTGTGAAGTATTTTCAGTTGGAAGGAAGGTAAGATTAAACTGATGATACAATTAAATGGAAGCATGTCTCCATGGGGTTAAGCAAATTGTGCCATAGGCTTGTACTCAATCCTGAAGGAAACAAAAATTGACACTTTATGCATTATGAGTTTATGATCACAAGCCGAATTCTACATGATTTTGAAGCTAGAGTCAAAATATCCATGTAATATGATAAATTGCAAGCTGAAAGCTACTTTTAAAGCGGGGTTTGTCATGAAAGAATGTTGAATTTTATCGAATACGTTTACTGCATTTATTGGGAAACTCATGTAGTTTTGGTCCTTCTTTCTGTTAATGTGATGTATCACGTTTATTCATTAGCATATGTTCAACTATTCTTGCATCCCTGGGATAAATTCCATTTCATCATGGTATATTATCTTTCTGAGATGTTCTGGTCCAAAACACTTTTGAAATCCAGCTGAGCAAACTGCATTAGATTTCAAGACCTAAAAATAATCATCCATGGCTCTCAGCTCTGTCTTCTGGGATCTCAGCTCTATCTTCTGAGTAATGTTTCTTTTTCACTGCTTCACTTTTTTTTCACTATGAGACATGTATTCAATAATCATGGTTGCAGATTAATACTAACATAGAATTTTATTACTAGTGATCATTGAATAGCCTCAAATTGAAACAGTAACTGCCCACTAACAGCAGACTGGATAAATAAATCGTGGTATATTTTCGTAATGATACATACATAGACGTGAGAATTAATAAACTCTAACTTCATGCAAGAATATGTATGAATGCCACAAATAAATTACCGACTTAAAAAAAGACAAAAGAGAAAACGTACCAAATTATTCCATTTGTGTAATCTACAAAACTTATCAAAATTATGTTGTTAAAATTAGTATGGTGGTTGCCCTAGAGGGCTACTGAATGAAATAGAATGGGGCAGAAGAAAGAGTTTTGTGAGATGCTGGTTCAATTGTGTTTTTAGATCTGGGTTCACTTAGTGAAAATCCATCAAATGCATTTATTTTTAATATGCATATTTATGCTTGTAAATCATATATTAATATTTTAAAAGTTGATATTAAATTAAAATACTAGCTAGAGACTGCATATAAATTAAATTAAAGCAGGTGAAATTTAAGACTTTCCGACTTTATTGGTTTGTGTCTAAAGATACTGATTAACGTTAGGATTTAAATAAAGATGTAAGAATTTTAAGGGTATCCAAGGAAATAATGGGCTACCGATTGTGTACCTGAACTCATGTAATTTTTTTGCCATTAGGTCAGATTATTTTACATAGGTTTTTCATAGATTCTTTCTCATTCCAACAACATAAGTCTTTATTATTGTCTATTGTACACATGTGTAGATATGATTTGGTCATGACACAGACAAAGATAAAATCTATAATCTTTTATTTTTATCTTAGGTTCCAGGATACATGTACAGAATGTGCAGTTTTGTTAAGTAGGTATACACGTGCCATGGTGGTTTGCTGCACCCATCAACCCGTCGTCAAAATCTACGATCCTTAACATGGCTTGAAAAAGTGCTAGACATCACTGAGCATCAGAGAAATGCAAATGAAAACTACAATAAGCTATCAGCTCACGCCAATTTAAATGGCTTTTAACCAAAAGACAGAGAATAACAAATATTGGTGAGGATATGGAGAAAAGGGGAACTTCATACACTCTTGGTGGGAATATAAATTAGTATAAGCGCTACGGAGAGCAGTTTGGAGTTCCTCAAAAAACTAAATATAGAGCTACCATACACTCCAGCAATCCCATTTCTTGGTATATATCTGAAAGAAAGGAACTCAGTATATCAGAGGTATATCTGGACTCCCACATTTGTTTCAGCACTTTTCACAATATCCAAGATTTGAAATCAACCTAAGTATCTATCAGTTAGATGAATGGATAAAGAAAATATGGTACTTATACTCAATGGAGTACTATTCAGCCATAAAAAACAAGAATGAGTTCTGTCATTTGCATCAACATGGATGGAACTGGAGATCATTATGTTAAGTGAAATAAGTGAGGCACAGAAAGACAAACTTTGCATTTCTTTCCACTTATTTGTGGGAGCTAAAAATGAAAATAATTTGCCAGGTGCAGTGGCTCACGCCTGTAATCCCAGCACTTTGGGAAGCCAAAGCAGGTGGATCACCTGAGGTCAGGAGTTTGAGTCCAGCCTGGCCAACGTGGTGAAACCCCGTCTCTACTAAAAATGCGAAAATTAGCCAAGTATGCTGGTACAAACCTGTAATCCCAGCTACTCGGGAAGCTAAGGCAGGAGAATCACTTGAACCCAGGAGGTGGAGGTTGCAGTGAGCAGAGATGGTGCCATTGCACTCCAGTCCGGGGGACAAGAGCGAAACTCCATCTCAAAAATTAAACATAAAACTAAATATAAATAATTAAACTCATAGAGATAGAGTGTAGAAGAATGGTTACCAGAGGCTGGGAAGTGTAGTGGGGGGTGGTGGGGAAACTGGGTACGGTTAATGGGTACAAAATATAGTTAGAAGAATGAATAAGACGTAGTATTTCCTAGCACAATAGGGTGACTATAGTCAAAAATAATTTAATTGTACATTTTTAAATAACTACATATAGAATTAGATTGTTTGTAACACAAAAGGATAAATGCTTGAGATGATGGATGTGATTACTACACATTGCATTTACCCTGATGTGATCACTATGTATTGCATACCTGTATCTCATGTAACTCATCAATATATACACTTACTATCAACCCATAACAATTAAAATAAATAAATAAAATTTAATCTTGGTCTTTGGTTTTCTACAATTTAATTATGATATTGTTAAGTGTTTATTTTTGGTATTTATACATTCTGATGTTACCTGAGCATCATTAGATTGCTCATTTGAAGTTTTGCCTCTTTTCTGATGGAGGCACTTACAGCTGTAAACTGGCCAATTGGTATTTCTTTCACTGTATCTCGCAGAGTTTGGTATGTGGTGTTCCATTATCATTTGTTTCAAGAAAATTTTCCATTTACTGTTCAATTTCTTCATTGACTCACTGGTCATTCAGGAGCATATTGTTGAATTTCTAAGATCAGTGAAGTCAACTATGCTGAGAAAATTATTAACGTCATTAAAAAACAAGAAACAAAAAAAGTTAGAAGTGGGAGGGCTTTTATTGTCTTATCTACTTACTTTATCACCAAAAAGTTCTGGAGCACTTTGAAGTTAACGAACATTTTGTATACTAAAAGAAGTAGCCCCAATAGGGATTGAGGTATTCTTCTTCATTTACAAATGAGTTCGACAAACTGTAAGGAGAAAAACCAACTAAACATATGGAATATTCCTTCTTGTAGAAGAAAAAAATTAATTAATCAAATTAAAAATTAAAAAATAAACACTTATAAGCTCAGTACAGCATGGGCAAGAAAGGAGAATGAAGAAGAAAAGCTGGCTCCTACGGTAATAAAATGCTTGCCAAAGTTGCCGAGAATTCAGAGAAACTGGAAACAAGATAAAAATTGCAAGATGGTAAATGTGATGGAAAGACACGGGAGACTACACATGACTTTCTTATCTGGAAAAAATAAATCAAGTAGATTTTTTAAATAGTCAAATATATAAAAGAAATAAATCTTTTGGAAAAAAAAAGACTTTAATCTGAAGACCTCTCAAATTTGCTTTGTTTGGATATACCAAAAAAAATTGAATAAATTTGAATGAAAACAAACATGTTTTATTCAAACTACCAGGTGAATAAACAATTTATCTGCAAGGACAAAAGCAAACTGATTCTCACTCCACTTACTAACAGCAAAGTCTTTTGCTCCATATTTACCCATAACCCTACTAACTCTATAGAAGCCTCAAAACTCACAAATTTACTCTGTTTTTTCTCTTTCTTTAAGAAAATATTTCTGTCAACTCACACAGCAGGAATATCAAGGGCAAAGTGGAAGACTCATGAGTCCCAGGTGAGGCCTTTGAGTCCTTCTGCACTTTGGATGCAGTTGGTCTTCACAGGTGTGAGTAGGAGGTATGGACCACCTTTATTCAGTGAAGTTCTGGGATTCCCTTAGGTTTTATGTTTTCTAGGCAAGTAGCAGCCACATCAGGGCTACAGGAATAGCTCCCATTTCCCAGCAGTGCGGCATGATGTCAATATCACTGACTTACCAATTGCAGTTGCACAATGGTCAACAATTTCTACAGTGAACTACAGATGCGTTATTCTTCACATGTTAAGTTCCATTGGATCCTCATATTTTAAAATGGGAATAGAACTTTTTGAGTTTATTGGGGAAGGAGGATTAAATGACGACTTAAATCCTCAAGGATCCCTAATCAGAGAGGGGAAAGACTATGACACATTTTCCTTCTATTCTAGAAGTTTGAAAGGAAAATTCCCACAATAGTGAGAAGTTTCCCAAATTACATTGTGGGAGCACAAGCCATTGGAAATATGATCCCACTTTATTTTAAAAAAATCAAGCCTCCTTATAACATTCTACTCTTACATTAAGCTTCATTTAAAATGGCAATATCAATTTGCCAGTGAAATCATGAAGGAAATTGTCGCCAAGGCACAAGGATAAAAGTCTTACAAAAAGAAAACTATTGATAACTTAATTGAACTTTCAAGTTAAACTATCAGAAAGATATGTGCCTCTGAATAATATAAACAACATTTAAAATGTTTAAATGAAAGTGGTAAGAAAAAGAATAAAATCTCAATTAAATGGTCTATACTCTGAAAGGCTAAGGAAGGGGAAAATTGATCCTGAGAATATTTACCTTGGCTAAAATGACCTTATCAACCAGTAGATAATTTCAAAATTCTTGAGAAAACTATCTTTGCATAAGTTTGTCATTTAATTTGCTTCACAAATTCTTGTTCTTAACATTTCAGAAACTGCTTAGATTATAATATATAAACTTTTTGAAGAGATATATTTCCACAAAACCTCTGATAATTAAAAAGTAGAATAGATATATATTAGAGGAAACCAATCGTGAACTGACACACTTAGTTACATAAAGTGAGAATGTTGAACTATTATCTACTTGCAAATAAGAAATATTTACAAACTGCTTAGACTAAACAGAAAATTATACACAAAGACTATTGTAAAGCAATTAGAATTCAACTCTATGAGATTTATTTTGGAAACTATAACTACATTCTTTTAGTTTGCAAATAAATATTAATAGCTGTGAAACCATATGTTCGTGGCAAGGAAGTCTTAAAATATGAAGAAATCAGTATGCTGACCAGAAAACAGGCAAATAAAGACGTGCTGTGCTATAAAGGACATTTTGCTGATTCTAGACTATTAAACTACTTACATTCCTTGGAGATATGTGACTTATTTTGGTCTCTAGATCTAATTTTCCCAATTAATGTTTAAGAATTCTTCAAGGGATTTTTGATGTAATAAGATACATCTACTTGAAGGTGGACAAGTTGTTTATATCCCTAAGTAATTTTTTGCGAAGCTCTTCAACATATTTAGCAAAATTAAAATACCATTCAACCGACAGTTATTAATTAGATTGGGGATTTCAGTTTGTATCCTTAATTAGGATTACTATTAAATAATAAAATTGGTTATTTTAGCTATGTTTAAGTAGAAATAAAATCATCCTCTAGTCGTAAATATGACTAGACATATAGGCCATGAGTAAATATTTATGACTAGAAAAAGATTGTTGATAGTTTTCATCCACCGTATGTTGAAGGGATTAATATACACTTATACATTAGACATTTTTATGCAGATGAAAAAAGAAAAATATTCATGTGAATAAATTTTCATGTGAAAACCTGGCTAATAAAGTTAGATAAATATTTCTATTCTATCTGAGCAGCAACTATCAAGTTAAATGATTTATTACCTAGCTGCTAAACTAAACTTGTTTCTGTATGCAAATTAAAATAACTGAGGGTTTTATAAAAACTATCTTGAAGTAGGTATCTCAAAGTGATGTGGTATATTAGGTAATAAAAAAATGTACGTATGGTATTTTTTTTCCTGTTAAAGAGAGTGAAGGGTGAATCACTTAGACACAAGGAGAACAGAGTTTAGAGACCATACATGTCTGGGCACAGCCCACGTGTATCTACATGGCAACACCTACTCCTGCTTGGTACATTTGGGTTTTGGCAAAACTAAACCTCACACTGGCTTTGGGCCTTATCTATCAAATTACAAAAAGTGGGTATTGGTGCGACTCTGGAAGGGATCCTCAGTCCTCAGTCATTGTCTTCTTGGGAAAAGATAATTTGGCCCAAAGACAGTACATTTAAGGCAGACACAAGAATTTGCTGAAGCAAAGAAAAGTACGCTTGGAGGGAATGAAGCGGACAACTCCAAAAACTGAGTGCTTGCCCAAACTTTGGCTCAGGCCCTTTACACAGTTACTATTTTCATCCTGGTCTCTTCCTCTTGTCCTTCCCCTTGGGTGGGCTGTTGGCCATTCGCGGCATGTGCAGCATTGCCGGCATTTGGGAGGAGCCAAATGCGCTATTTGTTGGTGGAAGGTAGGCGCATGCTCTCTAAGAGCAATTTTCCCTTACCAGCCTAGCGCCCCCAGAGGAAGGTCATATATATGTCAAGCTCCACCATTTTGCCCCTTACTGTGCAAGCCTGGGCATGTCCTCAGCGGAAGGTCAAACTCTGCCATTTTAAGTTCTAATCGGAAAGTTGTTGCCCACAAGCTCAAGATATTTCCTTGTTAGGAAATTTCCCCTCCCTGTCACCAGCTACCTTACAATCGCCTGATAGTCACCTGTTTCCTGACATTCTTTGGGGCCCGTGGTGCCCTGCTGGTATCTGCTTGTCTACCTACTCTAACAAAATCATTAGAGTGACTGAGCTTACTTTCTTGATGGTGACCTTCGCATTACTGCTGAGTGTAAAGGTGAAAACAGAGCATGTTTTGATCCATAAAATTATGAATATTTGCACTAAAATTTTATGCCCATCTCCTGACAAATTATCTTCCCTCTTTTATGTGGAAATAAAAATTCTGAGTTTTAGCCAACTCCTGAAATTTACTTATGAATATATCAAAGAATAACTAAACGAAATGTGAATAAGGACCTGTGAGTGCAATGTTTCTATCAAAATATATTTTAAAATTATTTATAAATAAAGAATTATGGATTTTTTTTAATTTAATACTTTTGAGAAAAGTTTTTAATTTGTTGGGTACTACTTACCAACAAATAAATTGTCTTTTGAGATACTAAAATGGAACAAGATAATAAACATCCTTCTTTGCCCACTTTCTAAAACAAATTATACTTTAACACTAAAGTTGCCTCATTGAAGATGAGCTTGGTGCTTGTAAAACGAGGAGTTAATGATGAATTTCACACAGAAACCTCAACGCCTTTTGTTTTATGTCTTTAATTTCACTACTCACCTGATTATATGAAATTTTATGTGAAAATTAGGTGTACTGTGTTTCTGTATTATTTATAATTCCTATGTAGAAAACTTCCTTTTCCCACCCATACCTAGCAATTGGTTTCATTGATAATAAAATGATTAATCTAGAAGTAAATGCATGAAGTTGTATCCAGGATGCTTGAGTCAGGGTTAAAAAAATGAATGCAGAAAAGGAAAGTAAAAAAAAAAAATAGAGATCACTAAATTTGGACAGCAGTTTAATTTGAACACTGTAGAAAAAGGTCATATAAACCTTGTAAAAATAAAAATTTTTAAAAATAGCTTAAAACTATCTTAAAAACAATTTGAAAATTAATAATTTTTATAATATTTTCTCAAATTACAGAAAAGTTAAGAAAAATACTTAAAATGGAAATATCAGCATAGACATATAAACTTTTAAAAATTGGTGGGTTTTTTGCTTGGTTTGTCTTCTTCCTCTTTCCTTATCATGCTTTTTCTCTACTGGAATTTTCTGGAAACACATCGTTAATAAAACACATACACCCAAGTTCTTGGCTTAGGGTCTCCTTCAGGGAGAACTTGACCTGTGATAGATCATTATTATTGTGTTACTAACTTTGTGTACCTCCTTCTGTTGTTTTCCACTTTCTTATATCCAGGACATATTTTCTGAGTTTTATCATTGACACATAGAGATTTCACTTCTTAAAAATAAATCTAAATAATTATTGAGAGCTCTAAAATTAGTTGTTTCTTAAATTTATTATTTAGTTCCCAAAAGATGTTGGGTACTTACTGCTTTATCCCTTCTCTTTCCAGCACAGCTTTGCAGATAGATAATGTCAAAGCAAAATCATCTTCGGTTCTCAAAATCACTAAGCTAAAGGGAAAAGTCAAGTTGAGAACTGCTTGGGACAAAAGTGCCTCCTATTCTATTCAAAGTAACCTCTCTGTTCACTGAAATAAATGCATATCTGATTGCCTACTCTGGAGAGGCTATTCAGAACCTCAAAAGAATGCAACCGTTTGACTCTTATCTCCTGTGACCTGGAAGCCTCCTCCCTGCTTTGAGTTGTCCTGCGTTTTGTTTGAGTTTTCCTACCTTTCTGGACCAAACAAAAGTTCATCTTATATATGTTGATTGATGTCTCATGTCTCCCTATAATGTATAAAACCAAACTGTGCTCTGACTCCTTGGGCACAAGTTGTCAGGACCTCCCGAGGCTTTGTCATGGTTGCACATCTTCAACCTTGGTAAAATTAACTTTCTAAATTAACTGAAACCTGTCTCAGATATTTGGGGTTCACAATAGTGTATTAGTTTGCTCTCACACTGCTATAAATAATTGCCTGAGACTGGGTAATTTATAAAGGAAAGAGGTTTATTTGACGCACAGTTTAGCATGGCTGGGGAGGCCTCAGGCAACTTACATTCACGGCAGAAGAGGAAGGAAACATGTCCTTCTTCACAGGGTGACAACAAGAAGTGCCTAGTAAAAGGGGAAAAGCCCCTTGTAAAACCATCAGATCTGGTATCATGGTGATTCTCACTCACCATCAGAAGAATAGCATGAAGGTAACTGCCCCCATGATTCAATTACCTCCCACTGGGTCTCTCCCATGACAGATGGGGATTATGGGAACTACAGTTCAAGATAAGATGTGGATGGGGACACAGGTAAACCATGTTAGATAATATCTGCTTCTCCCCTAGCTGAATGTCCTTGATCTACGAAGCTAGGCTATGTAGTGGTGATATTAATCTGTTGACAACTATCTTGCATCAAACTATACACTGTAATATTTTAGGAGTCGTGTCTTTTACATACCACCTTGTCTTCAATATCCAACACTGACTTAGTGTATAGTAGATGCTCAACACATACAAATAGCAACGTCAGTGAGACTTAAGTCGTTATCAAACTTGGTTGTTAAATATGTGTATATACACATACATTTTGTTAGAACACTTAGCACTGTGTCTATTTTCTACTAGTGCTAAAATCCCAACTAGTTTATGCCTTAAAAAATAATTTCTATAATAATATATGGTAGAGCCTATCACGTATGATTCTAAGCCTGAAATTTCAGTTATTTGTCCATCAAATGACATGGTATACATGAAATGACACATCCTCCACAAATTCATGCAAAATTTTTTCAAACTCTAAATCTATATTCTGCATCTTAAGTAATGTCTAGGATGTATTCCATGACGTCTTCCTCCTAATTCCTATCATGTTGCCCAGGGGAATCATATCCTCTGAAGGGATAAAGGGAGTCTTCCTCTTAATAGAAGGGGGTCCTTGAAATCTCCTGTAACATTTTTCATACACTGAAAATGATAGACACCCAGTCTTCTGGTTAGTATAATGCATATCATATTAAAATTATGAAAACAAACAAAGCAAAAACAATGTGAAGAGCTCTGTTGTAGTTCTGTTAGTCAAAATGCAATACAGGTCAAAGCAAATAGCCAGTTGTCCTAATAGTGTTAGAGTCTAATGCCCAGCTGTATGTGATTCTCCTCTCTGTTGGAGGCTATAGAAAGATCCCCATGCCTCTGACTCTCTTACAAATAGGCAGAGCAGGCCGGGCGCGGTGGCTCACGCCTGTAATCCCAGCACTTTGGGAGGCCGAGGCAGGCGGATCACGAGGTCAGGAGATCGAGACCATCCCGGCTAAAAAACGGTGAAACCCCGTCTCTACTAAAAATACAAAAAATTAGCCGGGCGTAGTGGCGGGCGCCTGTAGTCCCAGCTACTTGGGAGGCTGAGGCAGGAGAATGGCGTGAACCTGGGAGGTGGAGCTTGCAGTGAGCCGAGATCCCGCCACTGCACTCCAGCCTGGGCGACAGAGCGAGACTCCGTCTCAAAAAAAAAAAAAAAAAAAAAAAAAAAAAAAATAGGCAGAGCACTGAGACCAATTCTGGACAATGGATTGTGGTAGAATCCACATGGTTAGGATATTTATTTGTATTTGTGCTATGATCTCTCTCTCTCTGTTCCACTCTCTGTCTCTCCCTCTCTCTCATCTCCTACTGTGGAAAACCATGAATTCCACTGTTGAAATAGTAAAGGCCCATTGGTTTAAAACGAAGGCAAAGTCTTCTCTCAACTTGTGCTCCCACAACATGTGTTGGAAAGACTGAATAAGTAAGACATAAATCTTTGTTTTATAAGCCCCTCAGATTTCAAGGTTAGTGTTTTCCATAGTGTAAACCAGCCTATGCCAACAGATATACAAGACAATTTTAAAATGTATTATTTTTGACAAGAGATACAAAATAATAATAAATATATAAATAAAGTCACAAAACATATACAACATAAGAAGAAAAAGAAAAATCATGATAAGTTTTAGGAAATCATAGATGTCCAAATTCTAATTAAAGCAGTGATGCTGTGAGTCAGAGCAATCTTGAGAAATCCTTAGCAGCTGAGAAAGCCATCACTGTTGACAAGCTTCTTAGGAGGCATTTATTTTCCCCCTTTTCTGATGTGGAGATAGGCAGACTGGGGCAAACGTTTTGCACTGCAAGGACTGTCACACATTGACTTTTGCTCCTTTCAGGGCCATCTAACCTGACATCTATCAGAGTGAATCTAATAATTTTAAATTTTCTCATTTGTGCTTTATGGCTTTCACATTGACAGTCTAGGGACAATGCTGAGTCTTGGATGGGAAAGTCAAGGACAAGAATGGTTAGCAGGCATCTTTCAGTCAATGCAGATGAGTGTCGAAGAGATTTAAAGAGGCAAAATGTGTGCCAAAAGTAGCAAAAACAGCTGGGAAACTTTTAGATAGTCTTACAAAATGACCTATGCCAACAATGATGACTGCAGCTATCAAAATCAATATTTATAATTGTAAGTAGTCATAGAATACCATGTTTATTTTTTATGAATTTGAAATCTAATAAGTTTAACTTATTTTTCATGTATATTTACTTATTTGAAACTTCCAAAATTATTTTTAATAATTTTGTAAGAGTCAATCAAAAGTATTAATACAATAGGAGTAAATCCAGGCGGGTATGTTACACATTGTCTTACTTAGATTTATTTTCTACAAACCATATTTGAATTTGCAGAAGCACTACATTGATGAATTTATTAAATAATTAAGTACTCCCAATATCTGGACAGTGTTCTAAAGTTAATTTATGTAAAGACAGATGCATTAGAAATAAATTTATTAAATTGGGCAAAGTCTAAAAATAGCAAATATATTATGTCTTATTTCAAAAATGCCAGTTTTTATCAAGCAGAGATGGAGATAGAAAAAAAAAAATCTATTTAAAAATGGACATTCATGACTGGCAAGACACGGAAAACATAAAATTGTACCAAGACTAAAAATATCAATAAATTTATTTATTTGCGAATGTCAGTTTTTACCTAGCTGAGCTGTTCATGCAAAGAAAAATTACAATTTCTTGAGTAGGTTGTACTTCAAAAATAGCTTAGTGCCCCTAGAATCCATACTAAATTAAATAATGCAAAGTAGCAAAGTAGAATCTTTTCTCTTTAGCACAATTACCCATCACTAATTAAGTCATCTAACTAGATTTTTGATAAATTAAAAACTGATTAAGCCATCCCAAACTATGCAATTATACAAAATAAAGTAAAAAAGAAAACCTTGTATTTTATCATTGCCATTTAAGAGTAAAAATGCTAACAAAGATAGACTATAAAAATGAATTTTAACAAAGTAATTATAAAACAACAGTACATTTATAATTTGAAGACCCTATCTTGGACATGGGGCACCATCTCCTGATCCTTGAAGTTGGTTCTGAAATTGGGAAATAATGAAAAAGTAAAGTACTACTTTTCTTATAGGCAGAATAGGAGACCTTCCTGGAAGGGAGTCAAAGGAAAGGAGGTCTGCCCTGGACACAGGATAGATTTTCTTTTTCACAGAGAACCTGCAGGTCAAACACAAGTTCTGTGAAGGGAGATGGTTGAGAGTATAGCACTTTTATTGGGGGTGGATTGGGGTATGGAAGAAGAAGGTAAAAGTGTTCTCACTTTATATTTGTGATAGATTTCAAATATTTACCATTTATAAATGGCTTTAAAAGTCAGGAAATTTAGTAATTAGTAGATAGGTAATGTTACAAAACTATTATTTTGTTACTGTAAACACATCTCCAGATTATTTGTTTCTAGTAATATAAAATTACATAGGACCAAAACGTTTAACTCTTTAAAGAAAAATATTAGTTAAATCAACAAATGTGCCTTTAAGTAAACAATTGTACTTGAAATAACTTTGCAAACATTCCTATGGACTAAAGATGGAAAGGGAACTAGCATCTGATGACTAATTCAAACCTAACATTAGAACAGCCCTGAACAATGGAATCACATGGCCCGTTGGGCTTATCATGGCCCAGGGACTTGGGACAGAATGCCCCTGCCCAGAAAGAATCCAAAGCCTGGCATTCATTCATGTTTTAGAGCTCAAACTGAGAACACCATAGGAATCCAGACCTGAGAAAGCCATGTTGACTGAACACAGGGACCAGAGAAAAGTGTGACCACCAGCCAAAGATATGAGAGAACTGTGGTCTTCACCCCAAACACTCTTACAGGAAATCAACGAATGAATAAGTGAATGAATGGATGAATGTCTTCTACTCTCACATGGGCTTATGGGTCCAACGTAGACCATAATGTGGGATGGAAACATCCTAATGTCAGAAAATAAAGCAGTACATGATTGGTGGTGCTCAGTACCGGCAGTTAAAAGAAAGCATTCTGCTGGGCATGGTGGCTCGCATCTGTAATCCCAGCACTTTGGGAGGCTGAGGCAGGTGGATCACTTGAGCTCAGGAGTTTGAGACCAGCATGGGCAATGTAGTGAGGCCTATCCATGCAAAAAGTACAAAAATTAGCCAGGTGTGGTGGCACACATATGTAGTCCCAGCTACTTGGGAGGCTGAGGCAGTAGGATCACTTGAGCCTGAGAGGCAGAGGCTGCAGCGAACTGAGATCATGCCACTGCATTCCTGCCTGGGGGACAGAGCTGTCATAAATAATTAAATTAAATTAAATTAAAAGAGGCATTCATGTTTTTTGTAGGGAGCCTTATCCCTGGGATACGCTCAGGTATAGCCCTACCAAATGTGAGATCACAAATCAAACTCACAGAACACTGAAGAACATGTTATCATAGTTAGAAAAAACAGAAATAAGAAACAGCACAGTACAATGCCCATAAAAATGCAGACATTAATTTTATGAAGATCAAACTCTAAATGAATAATGATACTTTATTTTCCTCAATTCTAAAAGACCTAAAGAGCTTTTGTTCTGAAAATAACCTTGGTCAGAATTTAAAAGCATCTCGTTCTTTTTTGAAATATTATTTTTCAATTTTTTCTTATCTAACATTTTAATAATTGACATAAAAACAATATGTTAAGAAAAGATTAGATATAGCTAACAAGGAGATAAAGACGGCAATTAAAAATAAATATTTGTTTATTAGTTCTAACAAGTTTTTGGTGAAGTTTTTAGGGTTTTGTGTACACAATCATGTCATGTGTAAACAGATAATTTTACTTCTTTTCCATTTTAAATATATTTCATTTCTTTTCTTATTTTCTTTTTTTGCCACATTGCTTCTCATAGGACTTTTTGTACCATGTATTAGTCCATTCTCATGCTACTATAAAGAACTGGCAAAGACTGGGTAGTTTATAAAGGAAAGAGATTTAATTGACTCAAAGTTTTGCAGGGCTAGGGAGGCCTCAGGAAACTTAACAACCATGGTGGAAGGGGAAGCAAACATGTCCTTCTTTACATGGCAGCAGGAAGGAGAAAAATGAGAAGTGAACAAAGCGGGAAGCCCCTTATAAAACAATCATGTCTTGTAAGAACTAATTATCATGAGAATAGCATGGAGGAAAGCACCTCCATGATTCAGTTACCTCCCACTTGGTCCCTCCCATGACTCATGGGGATTATGGGAACTAAAATTCAAGATGAGATTTGGGTGGGGACACAGCCAACCCATATAAGACTATATTGAATAGAAATGGTAAAGGTGGGCAGCCTTGCCTTGTTCTGATTTTAGAGGAAAAGCTTTTAGCTTTTCAGCATTAAGTATGATGTTAGTGATGTTAGCTGTCACATGCATAAAATTTATTTTGTGTGGTATAAACTTGGCCACCTTTGCTCTCTTTTGTTTTTCATTTATATCTTTTTGATCCCTTTATTTTCAGTCTACGTGTGTTCTTAAAGCCAAAGTAAATTTTTTGTAGGCAGCATATAGTTGAATCTTGTTTCTTTTAGTTCATTCAGCCACCCATTCATTGTCATATATATGTAATTATATTAATTTCTATAATTATTTGTATAGAAATAAATTATATATACATACAATTATATTTTAATTAACAAATAATAATTGTATATATATTTATGGGGTATAATGTGAGGTTTTAATAGATGTTAGCACTATGAAATGATTAAATCAAACTAATTAACAAAATCATTACTTCACATATTATTTTTTGTAATGAAAACATTTAAAATCTCTATTATCAATAATGTGTTATAATATACATCATATTATTATTTATTATAGCCATTATTCTGTGCAACAGATCACTAAGAATTATTTCCTCTGTCTAACAAAAATTTTATTAGATAATATTTGTCCCTTTGATTAACATCTCCCCTGTCCCCATCAAATCCTCAACCCAGACGCTGGCAACCACTATTCTATTCTGTACTTTTATGAGTTCAGTGTTTTTAGATTTTACATGTAGTGAAATCATACTCAGAAAACCAAAATATAACAACCATATGATCCAGCAATGCTAGTTTTGGGTACATATCCAAAGGAATTAAAATCACTCTGCCCAAAGTATGCATACTCCCATATTTATTGCAGCATTATTCACAATAACTAAGACACAACAGCAACCTGTTTATCATCAGATAAATAGACAAGAATATGTGGTATATATGAACAATGAAATACTATTTAATCTTAAGAAAAAAATAAAATTCTATCATTTGCAGCACCATCAATAAACCTAGGAGACACTATTTTAAGTGAAATAAGCCAGGCACAGAAATACAAATACTCATTGTCTTTTGATAGAATAATTTAGTTAAATTTAAAGTAATTATTGAACGTAAGGATTTACTATTGCCATTTTACAACTGTTTTTTGACCATCTTATAGATTATTTGTTTCATTCTTTTCCTTTTTCTGTCTTTTTTTTGTGATGATGTTTGTAGTGGTATGCTTTGATTCTTTTTATGTGTTGCGTATCTGCTGCAGGATTTTTCTTTGTAGTTATTATGTGGCTTCCATAAAACATCTTATCATTATAAGAGTTTATTTTAAACTGAGAACAATTTAACTTTGGCGACATACAAAAACTCTACATTTTTAACCTGTTTTCCCTCTCATTTTATGTTATTGACATCACAATGTACATTTTTTAAATAGTATGTACACATTACCAAGTTATTTTAGCTATAGTAATTATTAATTCTTTGTCTTCTAACTTCTATTACAATTAAATGTGATTTACTCACCATCCTCATAGTATTATCATATTATGTATTTCATCATATTATTACCAAACAGCTAATTTTATACACCTTAATATGTTTTCATGTTGTCATCATCCTTTCCTTTCCACTTGAAGAACTCTCCTTAACAGTTCTTGTATGGCAGACCTGTGGTGATAAACTTCCTCAGCTTTTGCTTGCCTAGGAAAGTCTTTATCTTCCCTTCATTTCTGAAGGAAAGCATTCCTGGATATAGTGTTTCTGGTTGACAGTCTGCATGTTTGTTTTAATTTTAGCACTTCCAATATGTTGACACACTCTTGGCCTTCAAGGTATCTAATGAGAAATCTATTCATATTCTTTTGATGGTTCCTTAGTATATGACAGGTCCCCTTTCTCTTGTTGCTTTCAGAAGTCTCTCTTTGTCGTTGACTATTGAGAATTTGATTGTAATATCTCTCAATGAATATCTCTTTATGTCTAATATATCTGTGGTTCTTTGGGCTCCATGGATCTGGATATTCATTTCCTTCTCCAGATTTGGAATTTTTTGTCATTATTTGTTGAAATAATCTTTCTATTCCTTTCTCTTTCTCTTTCTCTTTCTCTGATCCTCTGACAATCCCAAATTGCATAGGTTGGTTTGCTTGATGGGTTCCCGTGAGTCCTATAGGGGTTTTATGAGTCTTTTTAATTCTTCTTCTGACTGGGTAATTTCAAATGATCTGTCTTCAAGCTTGCTTGTTCTTTCTTTTCCTTGATTGAGTCTACTGAATTCTTCTGCTCCGTAATTGTGCTCTTCATCTCCACAATTTCTGTTTATCTCTTTTAATGATTTCTTTCTCTTTGTTGAACTTCAAATTTTGTTCACATATTGTCTTCTTGATTATATTTAGTTGCCTACCTGTGTTCTATTGTAACTCACTGAAATTCTTTAAGAGGACGATTTTGTCAGGTAGTTTGTAGATCTTCATTTATTCAGGGTCAGTTATTGGTACTTTATTTTCGTCCTTTGGTGGTATGAAATTTTCCTGATTATATTCATGATCCTGCTGAACTTGATCTGGTGTCTGCCTATTTGAAAAAGTTGGTGTTTCTCCCTGTCTTTACAGATTGCCTTTTTATCACCAGTCAGACTCTACATGTATTCAGAATTATCTGGCCATGGGGGTTCATGGGAAGGGTGAGCTGGAACTTGGAGTAATAGGTGAGTGGGCCTACAGCCAGAGTCCACAGGGACCAATCTGCTGTATTTTTCTGCAGGGGTGGGCCTACAGTTTGTGTTAATGGGGCAGGCCTGGAACCTAGGTCCTTTGGGGTATGCCTGTTGCCTTCTACCATGTGCAGCAGACCTGAGTCCTAGATCCAGGGGCAAGGGTGGGAGGAAGCCTGGAACTTGGGTCCATGGGGATTAAGTAAGTGCTAGGGTGAGCTTGTAACCTGGAGCTGCAGAGGCCGGCCTGGAGCTGGGTCTTCAGGTGCCAGCATGGTGCTTGGGATCATAAGGACTGACTTGGGTCCTGGAGCCACAGGTATCACTTGGCATCAGAGTTTCCTGCAGCAGACCTTGTGCTGGGGTCTGTGACAAAGACACACACACACACAAATACATATGCACACAATCAATCACATTATATATATATATGTGTGTGTATGTGTGTGTGTGTGTATATATATCTGTATAATTCTGTGTGCATGTGTGTGCTTATTTCTATATACTTGAAAGTCCTGTCCAATATTGCAAATGAAATTACTATAGAGATAGTTTTAATTGGTTTCTCTAGGGTAAAAAAATAATGCTGATTTTTATTTTTATTTTTCGACTTCATGTCATAAGTATTCAGTTGTATTCCTCAGGTCACAGTACATTATTTACCGGTACCAAACACCACTCTTATGTCATTTATTTATTACCTTTGTCCACATTCTCTACTGAAATTTCTCTCTCTCACATCATAACAATTATAGTCATGGAAATTCATTTGCAGTTTATTTTTATCCTACTAGTAATAGCTATTTTGCTCCTCAAAATCATCAGTGATTCTGCCATGGACATGTTGGTAGTGTTCTCATGGATCTTTGTGAAAAGTTTTTTGGGATGTGGATGTAAGAAGAGAATCACCTGACAAGTGCAGCAGAATAGTCCTCAGTATATTCTCCGAGGTCGTATGTGCGGGTTCACTATACCCAAATCTTATTCTACACTTGGCATTATCTAGTCATTATCTTTTGTTTTTCAGAAGTTCAGTAGGTATAGTATATCATTTGTGTTATTTTATTTTTGCTTTTATTTTAGCACATGATTTTGAAATTTCTTATTATATGTTTAACTTTGGAGATTTTAACTTCTATCAATTGTTTTTTTCATCTTTTTTGCACTCCTATCCTTGTTCATTTGTGGATCATTTTCTGTGTATTACTTTGTATATGTTTTAATCACATTTCAGTTTTAGATAATGAAAATATCATTTGTTACTGCATCTCTATTGTTGTATAATTTATTATTGCATATAGTAGGTATACATTAAGTTTTATTAATAGAATAATAAATGAATAAATTATACCATATACTAGACACTCCATATTTGTGCTGAACTAAACTTAACTCAAAGAATGTACTGATATATTTGGCTATTTTCCATTTGACTCAAATTTTAATACATATTCAACTATCTAAATGTCTATTCGTAGGTCTGAGTTTATTCATAATTGGATCATTCTCTCACTTGGGTACATAAAATTGAGAATTACCTAACATAATTCAAATAGCTACTTAAAGAATGTCTTCTGGTTTTCAGAAATAATGACCAATTTGTCAAATAATTTTTTAAAACATATCATAATATTCATGTCAAAGAGTGTGACATTGGGTAATTTGCTATCCTGAAGATTTTTTCCTCTGCAAAATGAAGATATTGCTAACCCCAAAGGGTTTCTGAGATGTTTAAATTAAAAAACAATGCGTGAATGACCTATTTCTGTGCCTGATGCAAACTGTTTAAAAATACTGCATCCATTTTCCCCTTCAAAGTAAATAACAGACAAACGCTTCATTTCTTAGCTAGTTTGTGGTATCTAAATTTAATAATCAAATAAAGGCAATGGTTTCTTTAACATTTCAATTCTCTCAGTGGGAGTTGAACAGTGTTAATAGATTTTTCTAGCAATAAAATAAGTCTGTACCAAAGTCATTCGTGGTTCCTTATTCAATTATTTAAGTTGTGCTTGGTTTCTAGGAATCATAGGGTTAGGATACTGGGAAAAGTTCTTCTCTCAATTGATTGCCCTTTACGATCACATAATTCACAGTGACAGGGAAAAATTTATTGGAAGTAAAATGCAGAGATTTAATCAGCATATTCTCCAAGGCAGCCATGTACTCAAAATCCTTCAGCAGGCTCATACCCTATAATGCACACATAAAGTAAATGTAGCCAACATTTCCAATTATTAGTAACTGAGAGTATATGCAAAATAATACTCTTATTCCCATTAGCTGAATGTTGTACTTGGTATTACTTCAGTGATTAAGTGCCCCTTTCTGTGGTGCTCAGTCCCAGAAAATGATTATGAATTATATTTGGGTTTCGATCATGACTTTAATTTTACAAATTTTGTGACGTGGGCAAATTATTTTGCCTCTTTAATAACTTCTAGAGTTTTATGAATTAAGTAAAGTGATGCAAATTTCTTAGCTCAGAGCATCAAATACTTCGCTTATGCATCCTTAGATCTAGACTTAGATAGAAAATCTTCATAGTGCCTACTAAGTGCTAGAAACTTTATAAAAACATGACGACCCTATAAAGGAGATAATATTTTTAAAAAATATTTTAGAGGTCTGAAAACTGAAACTAGAAATTAAGTAATAATTCCAAGATTATCTGAGTAGTTACTAGATACACATTTTTCCCTTGGGTTAATATTCAGCCTCACCCTGCCTGGTAGTGCCAGCCACTGAACAGCCCCTCAGAGACAGCCTAATCTTTTGCTGATGCCTACAGAAATAACAGTTCTGACTGGATGCACCCAAACTCTGTCATGTGGGTTCTGCCTGGCTCAGGACTTCCTGGAGAGACCTACACTATCTGCGTCATCTTATACTAGCATGTGTCCTCAAG
Source organism: Homo sapiens (assembly GCF_000001405.40). Classification (NCBI taxonomy): domain Eukaryota; kingdom Metazoa; phylum Chordata; class Mammalia; order Primates; family Hominidae; genus Homo; species Homo sapiens. The sequence goes on from NC_000008.11 coordinate 5,335,059, forward strand.
TAGAACCTATCTAGAATGACTAAAGTCTCCTTCCATGCCACGTGGGGCCCAGCAGAGCTGAGATAAGCATTGTCCTAACCTTTTCCCAGACTCTTACCAAGAGCCATTTTGACCTTGCTGGCAGCCTCGTATCTTCTGTTTTCTGTGCACCAGAAGTGGGTACCAGCCTTTTTGTGCAAATACACTCCTATACTTGAGGAAATTATGTCCAACTCGTCCAAAAGCTCTCATGTTTGCTAATAAGAAAGCAGCACTAGGTTGGACTGTGACTATCTGCAGCCCAGGAAGCTGCCTGTGAAGATTCCCATCACATCCTGCGTGTACATCTAATTACTCTCTACTAAGGAGCGTCTTCACCCCCAGAGTTTGTAGGGCAGGTCCAAGGTACATCATTTACAAGGAATACGGCATCACCCAAAGGATTGTGTTACTTTCACTCTCCTTCCCATTAACCTCTTCTTAAACTTGGGGGAAGGAATAGGAATGATGGCCAGTTCTGCTACCTCCTAGTTTTCTTTCAGGGAATTGTTGTCCAGCTGGTAGTTTCTGTAGAAAATGAGTGTTTTAAGTTCTTGTTTCTAACATGAGGTCTTAGTGAAACACCAGAAAAAAAAATTAAAAATTCACCTAACATTCTTTTACATGTTTGTATATACATACATATGTAAACATATAAATATATAACAGATATATGTTTAAATTCTTCTCTCCAGCTCCTAAACTATGGACCCAGCATATTTTAGCTAACTCGTTAATTAAATTGGTAAATGTAAACGAACATTTTTTTGAGTCTTCTATGTTTCTGTTTTATATTTGTCGTCTCATTTAATCCTTATAGTAACCCCGAGAGATAGAAATTACCACCCATATGCATATGAAGTAAGGAAAATGAGATTTTCTTTTGCAAATTGTCTTTTATTTATCACACTTCTCAACCCTCTAAGAGTACAGAGAGTAAAACTGTGGCTCACGGAGATTACAGAAGTTGCTCAACACTGCATGAATTATAATTGAAACAGATTAAGAAATAGGAAAATGACTGTGAGAAATGTCACTTATGACTGGAAAACCAGCTTATGAATGAAAATCCCCCTTTTTTGCCCTCCGTTATTTATCACTCTTCTACAGGTAGCCAGTAATGAACACAGCAGAAGTTGGCTGCAGCTGTCAACCACGCAGCCCTCCTTCAGATTAAGGCAATGTCTGCGTGTTCTGAATTACCTACCTTAGTGAGCACTGGTGGCCCATCAAAATTCCACCCACCAGATGCCAAACAGATTCATAATATGCAAATGACTGCTTGTGGCATCAAGTTCATCAAATTGATTCTGGAACTCCAAGCACCGTAGGGGGATGGTGGGACACATGCTTCCTCCTTAAAACAGAAGTCATTTCTTTTAAGAGCAGAGAGGTGCTGGTTGCGTCACTTGAGGCGTCTGCAATAATTCTTTCACTTCTATATTCCTGGGCCCTTAACAAGATTCATCTATGCCAACATGTGCTTGGCATCCATTGCTCTGGCATCTAGAGAATAGTTTAACAACAGAAAAATAACAAACTATGAGGAAATGGGTGTAATACTTTTATAGCTGAGGCTGAACTCAAGCGTGAATAAAACGGCTTCTAAACTCAGCCTGCTCCATAACTGCCCTTCATTGATTTTGATTGATTAAAATGCAATTGTATTAATCAGTAATGGAAGATCGTTCCATATGTTTAATCGCTCTTTGTTGGTTTGTGTGTGTGTGTGTGTGTATGTGTGTTTGTGTGTACTGTCACGCACTGCACAATCCTGCATAACTACATTTTGGTCAACTACAGACTGTATGCATCATAGTTGTCCCATAATATCATAATACATTATTTTCCTGTACCTTTTCTGTGTTTAGATACGTTTAGAAACACAAACACTTACGATTGTGTTATAATTGACTACAGTCTGCTGCACAGGTCTGTTGCCTAGGAGCAATCGGCTTCAGTATGTATCCTAGGTGTGTTGGAGTCTGTTCCATCTAAGTTCTGTAAGTACACTCTGTGTGGCTCGCACAATGATGACATCGCCTAATGGTGCATTTCTCAGAATATATCCTAGTGGCTAAGTGTCACATGACTGTAAACATTGCCAAGATTTTTTTAAATAGAAAAAGAAAAGGGAGAAAAAAGAATATTGGCTAGGTTCTTGTTAGGAAACATGTTGCCCCCAATTATAATTGTAGTGAGAACTCAATGGAGAAGCTATTTTCAGAGGCAGGCAGAGTGAGGGAAGCAATTCTGGATTGTTGTGGTTCGCAGGGACCGCAGGAATGGGAAGACATCTGTTGAATGCCCCTATGTTGGAAGCACCAAGCTGAATAGTTTTCTTGGTGAGCAAGGTCACCTGGAACCCTGGACGAGAAGGACTCAGAACGAACGCAATATCCTAGGGAAGGGAGAGGTAAAGAGTTCTCCAAACTCTCCTTTAACCAACCCTCAGGCCTCCTGCCATTACTTCTGACTGACTGAGACCAACTGGAGCAGGCAAAGAGGACAAGCGAGGCAGTGACTTGGACCAGGCCCAGTGGAGACACAGCACAGTGTAAAACAAGGCCAGAGAAATCTAGGCATGGAAAAACGGGAGACAGATGAAGTACCATGTGCCTGGTGCTTTACACAATTTGTCAATATGAACCTTATTTGCCGAAATCAGATGGCAATATTAATATCTGCTTCACAGGATGGCTAGCAGGTTTAAAACCAGTGACCCATTTTTCTCTGAAGTCGTAGAACAAGTAATTAAAAGTGAGATTTGAAATTAACATATATGAGAAATCCCATTTCCCTTCCCTTTTGAATGAAGTGCCAGTAATAGTTATCCTATGTTTGCCTCACCATGGAATATTTGGTATGTGGGGAGAACATTGAGAGTGTGTCGTCTGATTTTCATTGAGTTAACTGAAAGCTAAAATAAAATATTGGTACTCTTCAGAAAAGCGATGTAATTAAAGTCTCTGTAATACGTCATTCATGCTATGAAGAATACAATCCAAAATTACACAAAATAAGAAAAAATGACAATTTAAGCCATATTTGTACCTACCTCAAGCAAGGTTCAGATATTGTAACAAGCAGAAAAGTGATTCTAAAGTAGTTGTTATGAATATAATCATAACTGTAAAGAAAAATATGCTCATAAAGAATGAAAAAATAGAAACTTTCAGAGTTAAATAGAAACTATAAGAAAAATCAAGTGAAAATTCTAGAATAAAAATTAATTTCAATTAAACAATAATGTGTGCACTTAATAGCAAAATGGACATGGCAGAAGAGTTGATACATTTGACAATAGCTTAATGAAAATATATAGCTTGAAAAATATAGAGAAAAAATGGTGTTAAGATATGAACAGAACTTCAAGAAACTCTGTGACCTCTAAAGGGCTGACGTAACAATTGGGACCCTAGAAGGAGAGTAAAATGAAAAGGGGACATAAAAGTATTGAAGCTGTGGTCCCAGCTACTCGGAGGCTGAGGTGGTAGGATCCCTTGAACCCAGGAGGCAGACGTTATGGTGAGCCAAATTACACCACTGCACCCCAGTCTGGGCAATAGACCAAAGCCCTGTCTGAAAAAGTGTTAGGATAGAAGAAATGATAATTAAATATTACCAAAATTTGAAGATAACATAAATTTTCAGCTTCAAGAAGGTAAATAAGTTATAAGCAGGATAAATAGAAAGAAAACATGACTGAAGCAATGTTACAGTTAAACTGCTGAAAACTAAGTATAGCAAGAGAATTGTGAATGCCACAGAGACAAGTAACATGTTCCACGGAGTTGGGGCAATATCAGTGACTGCTGGTTTCTCATCAGAAACAACAGGACCATAACTTCAAAGTCCTAAAAGAAAAACAAAATGAGAGCTTCCTACACAGAATTCTGTTTCATAGAAAACATTATTCAAGGATGAAGGCAAAATAAAGCATTTTCAGTCGATGAAAACCAAGAGAAACTGCTTGTGAGCAGGCTTTCAATGTAAGAAACATAAACGCGGCTCTTCTGGCCGAAGGGAAAGAATTTAAGTTGGATTATGATCTTTAGGCTGAGTTAAAGAGCCCTGAAAATAATGACTATAAAGGCAACTATATGAGAAAATTTCCCCTCTTAATTTATTTAATATACAAATAATTAAACATTCTAACACTACATCATGGGATGATGGCACACGTGGATTTATTTTATATATATATAATGATTCTAGTTTAAAGGACAGACCCGCGGGTAGGAAACATACTGCTGAAGATTTTTCTACTTCATGTGTGGGAAAAGTTATGTTTTGTGTATGGTAAAATATTAACTCTAAGTATTCTGTGAAAAGTAAGACTGTATATTGACCTCTAGAGTGACTACAAAAAAAATACAAGAAGTTATAGTTAAAAAGAGAATACATAAAACAAAATGGAAATTTTAAAAGCATTCAAATAATACAAAAGAATTCAGGAAGGAAAAATGAAATGAGAAGGAGCAATGATTTAGTATTTCAGCCTGTGACCTGAACTCCTGGACTGTCCCATGAGACTGGCCCACTGCTCTTTCCCTTGATTTCATGGAAGACACCTGCAGGCTGTCTAAAGGACTGCTTGGTTTCAAGATTCCGGCTGGAAACTGATGGCAAACTCAGCAGGGTAATTGAAGAGATCCTAAGGGGCTTTACAGAGATATGGGTAGGAAGGAGATGAAGTATCCAGGGAGTCAGAATAGCAGAATGTTACTCTTTGAGAACTGCAGGTCCAGAAAGGAACTTTTACCAGAACAGGAGAGAGTAGAATCTCCAGGGAAGAGGTTGTCCAACAGGAGAAAGAATACAGCAACTATTGAACACCTTGATCTCTTTATTCTCTTGCCCTAAAGTCCACTGCTTCTTTCCCATTGGTCAAATAGGAGCCAAAGGGAGAAGAAAATTGTGATGGTGCCCTTGGTAGGGGTAAGTTTTCTAGGGCGAAGAGAAGGGCAGAGAAAGCATAGAGTAGACTTGAAGGAGAAAAAGGAACTTTCCTCTGTGCTCTGGGCTAACTCCTATGATCTTATTTAGATTCATAGTGCAAGGCTCTCGAGAAGGAAGCTGATAAACTTATCTCCTATTGTTTGATGTATAGCAGTAATTAGTTTTTCTAATCCTAGGAGACCCGAAATTTCTGGGCACTTAAATACTTTACATTGAAAAGAGAGATGGAATGGAATACAAGTCTATTAAAGACTTTTCTCAGCCTGAAGTCTGCAAACTTGCTAATATTTGCCTATGTTTAATTTTATTTCAGTTCTTTCCTGAACACTTCAAAGAGTAGCCCATATACATCATGTTCTACGTTTTTCTAATTTCTTTCCTAAAGGCAAAACCTTGGATGGCAAGGGCTGCTTGACCATTTATTGTAGCTAGCAGTTTTACCAAACGTTTCAGCATGACTTCATTTTCAGTCTCAACATTATTATTCACATTCTTATTCCTTCTCTTCCTGATTACTTCACCAATTATCCCACCAAGCACTGAACCAGCTCTAGTATTAACGACTCTACACTAAGGGCTATGCAGACGCAATTTAATTTTATAGGAGATATGAGGATTAATTTAGCTATTGTATTAGAAACAAGTACATAAGTGAAACTGGATATAGAGATAAAGCTATGATTTTTAAAAAATACAATGTAGAGTAAATATGTGACCCTTATATAAAAAATTACAGTCCTGCTGAATAAAGAGAAATAAACCTATGGTTTCTGAATAGCAATGTGAAAGGTGTTTATTTCCAGTGCACACAGTTCTACTCCGCTGGAGCATTCATGAGGATCAAAATGTGATGAGGATATTTACATTTAAGGAGTGACAAAAGTAGAATAAAGAAAATCCAGGGATACTACTATGAGTTGATAAGCTTTGAGTACATTTTTGAGGCTAATTTCTATTTGTAATTTTAATTTTTATTTATTTATTTTTTTAAAATTATACTTTAAGTTCTAGGGTACGTGTGCACAACGTACAGGTTCGTTACATATGTATATATGTGCCATATTGGTGTGCTGCACCCGTTAACTCGTCATTTATATTAGGTATATCTCCTAATGCTATCCCTACCCCCTCCCCCCACCCAAAGACAGTCCCCGGTGTGTGATGTTCCCCATCCCATGTCTAAGTGTTCTCATTGTTCAGTTCCCACCTATGAGTGAGAACTTGCGGTGTTTGGTTTTCTGTCCTTGCGATGGTTTGCTCAGAATGATGGCTTCCAGCTTCATCCATGTCCCTAAAAAGGACACGAACTCATCATTTTTTATGGCTGCATAGTATTCCATGGTGTATATGTGCCACATTTTCTTAATCCAGTCTATCATTGTTGGACATTTGGGTTGGTTCCAAGTCTTTGCTATCGTGAATAGTGTTTTGAGGCTAATTTCTTTAATTTTGAAATCAGAAGCTTATGGGCACATAGGAATCACACGCACACTGAAAGGAATCTGAGATATGAATTGACCACCAGAGAGCTGTAGACACATCAGTTTCTAAACTAATATTGAATAATGTCTTCTTCTTATAGCTGACTCCTAAAAATTAGCATAATAAGTAATACTTTTTGATATATTTTCTACTAATATCTGTTACTTTTCCAATGTATACATATTAAAATTTTGTTCTACTTTCTGTAAAGTTCAGGTACATTGGATATTTTTTGATAATGGTAAGATCATTGAAAACAGGGTCCAAGAGCTTTGGGCTACTTTGTTGTTTTACTTTCTATAAGTGGAATGAAATTGGATGGTTATTAGAGACTTAAAACGTTATTCTATCAAGCAAAACAATTTGACTGTATATTTTTGGCAGATTCGTACGCGGTCCCTGTATGTGCCATGCATTGTGCTGGGCACCGAGTTCTGGAAAAGAGCCAAAGATCTCCTCTGTGTGTTGGCCTCTGGGTTATTTATTTCCTCATAATAGGTGAACACCCATTCTAAAGCCTGTAGGCGCCAAACTTAAATTTGCACGTCCAGTTGTTTTAAACATAGCCCAAAGAAGTAGATGTTTAGCTACTTAGAACCTACCTACTTGGTATTCCTCACAAAACTACCCCCAACTTACAGGCCTAGATGCGATAAACCCTTTTGCTATAAGGACCTCAAGCCTCTGCTGTGCTTCAACGCTGTCTAATCAAGAGAGTCTTTTCCATGGTGCCGAACCACATCATCTAGACATTGAGCCCCTCTCCAGTCCTTCTCTCCTCCAGGAGCTGCCTTGCTCTCTTTATGGTTCATGCCAACTCAGCTGGCCACACTGTAGCCTCCGGATCGGGTCCTTCCCAGAGGGACCTCCACTGTGCAAACCTGTCAAAGCAGCTCTCAAAAAGCTGTGCACACTACTAACACCTTGTGGTCCTATATTTTCCCTCTAACTCCCTACATACGGGTGACATGAAGATAAATATTACACGATTACAGAGTCTGGTGAGAGGGTTGGAGTGATGGGAGTTTGTGGATCTGCCTCTGAATCTTGGAGTGACTCACAATCTGGAATTGAACCTAAGAGGTGACACTCCGGTTATATGAGTTGGCTTGTGGTTAGAATGGGGCTTGAGGAAAGCTGAATATGTATGTAAGGGGTTGCAAAAAGAAAGATACAAAGAATAGAATGACTCAGGGTAAAGCCGGGATATTAAAATGAATTTGCTGTGTCTGCAGAATATGGAGGGGACTGAGAAAGTACCATACAGAGAAAGCAAAAATGACATGAGATGCAACTTATTTTAAGATTTCAAACAACCATAAAAGTTATTTAAAAGAGTAAACCATTGAGCCAATTAAAAACATTATGTGAAAAGAAAATATTCTGACGGGAAAAAGAATACTAGCAGGATTAAGATGCGCTAAGATCGTAGTTGTCAAAGCTTAAACCTATAATCAGTAATTACGGCATCTCAAAGCCTATGTTATCAGTGAGGAGCCAGGCAGTAAAGGTTTCCTTTCTCACTGCTGCCACCCATGTGTGTACAATTAGAGAACTTTTGACGTATTATAATTAATTGTTTACACTGTCTTCTCAGAGATACAATGAGACCTTCAATAACTGGAACATTGTCTTATTTCTCTTCGGATACTTCTAAGTTCAGCAGATATTTATGTTAATAAATAAACCCACATACACGTTTGATTTGCGTATACCCTTTTAACATATTCATGTAAGGTGTACTCTAACCCCCGCTTCTCCGAGTTTCAGCAAAGTAGGTAAGTTACTCTGAGATAAGAATACAGTTAAAACTTCACTGAGGCCGGGCGCCGTGGCTCACGCCTGTAATCCCAGCACTTTGGGAGGCCGAGGCGGACAGAGTGAGATTCCGTCTCAGACAAAAAAAAAAAAAAAAAATACATACTACACTTTATGCTGCTTACAAGTGACATTCTTAAATATGAGATAAAGAACAGCTGAAAGAAAACAAAATTCAAAAAAGACTTTCATGGCAAACCCCAATAAAAATAAACCTAATGTAGCTATGTTATACAAATTTGAGTAGAAAAAGAAAAATATCAGAAAGAAATAGAGACATTGTATAATAAATGGGAAATACACTAGACAGTATAATATGTTCTACACTTAGGTGCACCTGTGATATAGTATCATATTGAAGCAAAAATGGCAAAAAATTTAGAAACAGACAAAGCCATAATGCGAGTGAAAGTTTTAACATCCTTCTTTTTGTAACCCTTAGAAAAAATAAAAATTAATAGAGAAATAGAAAATTATAATAAATTGAACAACACACCTAATTTTATTGACTTATACCTACCACTTCACCACAAAATATTACAATACAATTTGTTTTGAAATGATTATGAAAGATTTTCCAAACTGAATTTATGCTTGGCAATAAATCAAATCGCAGAAAATTTCAAAGCATTGGACTCAAATACAGTAAGCTCTTTGACAATAGGGCAAAATAAACTAGAAATCAGCAATGAAAATATAACCAGTAAATTATTTAAAATTTAGAAATTCAGCAATAGACACCTACATAATACAGTACTTAATGAAGGAATAAAAATCAACATAGCGAGTATTTTAAATTAAATGACAATAGTCCAACGTTATTGCTGGTATGTTGTTAAAGCTATGTTTAAGAAAATACATAGCCTTGAAGGAATACTTTACATAATTAATTAACATTTATCTAAGGATCTTAAAAATATAGTAGCTTAAATTCAAAGTCAGTAGAATGAGATAAATAATAAAAATAACAGGAAATTAATTGCATAGAAAATTGTAAAAGAGGATGATAACATAATCAAATGTAACTTCTTGAAAAAATTTAATTTAAAATGTAGGAATCAAGAAAAAACAGAAAAAAGAGGAATAAATTGGTTATCATAACATATCCTATAGCTATTCCAAAGAAAATAGATTATAAATTATATTGATATCAAAAAATTTTCAAATTTAGTTGTAGATGTATTTCTAGAACAAACATAAATGAAGAAAGTAGACATAAGAACAACAAAAAACTGAGCAGTCCAATATCTATTAAACAGGCTGAATGAATTTTCACTCCTTTTTACGGGTCCTAAGACTTCATTGGTGAATTCTTTTGAATACTTAAAGATGATATAACGCCACTTTTACACAAACTTCTCTAGAACATAGAAAAGGAGAAAACACTTTTCAACGTATGTTGGGGGAGCATCCTAATCCTGCTACCCAAATCTGATAATTATATCACAGAGATGACAATTAAGGACTTTTCCTCCTAATTATAAGTATAAAAGCCAAAAGCACAATATTAGCAAAACATTCCAGCCACTTACAAGACAAGAAATCAATAATACCAAGTAGGTCTAGTCACAGAACAGAAGATGTAATTAAAAGAATTAAAAGGCAGCTGAGAAATAAGAGATTACCTATAACACCTATAAGAAATAAAGAGTAAGATGTAGAGTATATCAGTACTCTTGTAATAAAATAGTAATAATAAAAGACAATCAAGGTAATAAAAATATAGACTAAAGACTTATATAAGTATAATGTGCCTGACACACATACACACATGTGTGCAGGATATCCAAATGATCATTAACGTGGTAGCTCACACTTGTAATCCCGGAACTTTGGGACGCCAAGGTGGGAGGATTGTTTGAGTCCAGTAGTTTAAGACCAGCCTGGACAACATGGAGACACCCCGTCTGTATTAGACTGTTCTCACATTGCTACAAGAGAACTACCTGAGACTGGGTAATTTACGAAGAACAGATGTTTAATTGACTCACAGTTCTACATGGCTGGGGAGGCCTCAGGAAACTTATAATCATGGCGGAGGGAAGGGGAAGGGGAAACAAGGCAGGTCTTCACGTGGACAAAGCAAGAGAAAGAAAAGCAAACGGGAAGCTCTACACACTTTTAAACAACTAGATATCATGAGAACTCAGTCACTATTATGGGTACAGCATGGGGGATATCTGCCCACATGATCCTATTACCTATCACTAGGCCCCTCCCCCAACAATGAGAATTATAATTCGACATATTATTTGGGTAGGAACACAAAGCCAAACCGTATCACTGGCTCTAAGAAAACAATTGGCCAGGCGTGGTGGCATGCAACTGCAGTCCCAGGTATGCAGGAGGCTTCGGTGGGAAGATGGCTTGAGCACAGGAGGTAGACACTGCAGTGAGCTGAGATCATACACTGCACGTCAGCCTGGGCAACAGAGTGAGGCAATGTCTGAAAAAAAAATTTTTAAAAAGGTGCTTCAAATTATTAGTCCTATGGGAAATACATTTCAAATTAAGTTAGACAATACTACAAACTCACCAGAAATGTGAAATTTTAAAAATGATCTTGCTAATGATGGGAAGAATCAGAAACATTTGTGTAACGTGGGTGTGTAAATTGGTAAAGCTATGTGGGGAAATTTTTGACAGGGTCTCCATATTCTGAACATGTCTATGTCTGATGACAACAATTCCACTTAAAAATATCCGAAAGAAATGTGTATGTGCTTGCACCAAGACGTGTTTACATGATTGTTCATAGTAATTTCATTCATAATAATTGCAAACTAGAAACCCCTCTGTTCATCATCATTATACCAGAAAACATAAATTGTAGTACATCCATGCAAAAATGTACTAATTCTCACCTTTTTTCACATCTCAACATCGAATATAATATTGGTAGAAGAAGCCAGAATTTAAAAAAAAACATAAAAGCAGAAAACAAAAAACATTCCAAATGAATCTATGATGTTAGAAGTCAACAACATGGTTACGCTTTGGGGAGGGTGATGTAGTAATGACAGGGAGGAGGTGTAATCGGTGCTGTACAGTAATGATCGACTCATAATTTATTTCACAGTCTGGGCATTGGTCCCATGGGTGTGTTTATTTCATAGAAATTCATCAAGATGCACACATAATTTATGAACTTTTCTCTATATACTGTGCTTCCACAGAAGTACATATTTCACACACACACACACACACACACACATACACATACACACCCTTATATATTTAATTACATGACATTAACAGAAGATCACATACACTGAGCAGGTAGGGGCCAAAAAGCTTTTGGTTTGTTCCTTTCATATACACAATGTAACAGTCTCTTAGCAGACTGTCTGCAAAACATTTTTTTTTCATTCTGTACATGAATCAAGCAGTCTTCCTTCTTCTAAGTACCTCCTTTGTTATTTTAAGGTATGATTTATGAGTACAAACGGTGCTATATTGTTGACGCAAACATAAGACTTTAAAACAGACCAGGTGCAGTGGCTCATGCCTGCAATCCCAGCACTTTGGGAGCCCAAGGTGGGAGGATCACTTGAGGCCAGGAGTTAAAGATCAGCTTCGGCAACATATCAAGAGCTCATCTCTGGAACAAAATGAAACAAAACAACAAAACAAAACACCAAAAACTTTACAATAAATACATTACATGTAACCATAACTGACATAGTTTGATGATTGCAAATTACTAAACTGTTTCTTAAATGGGCTATAATTTTGAGTAATATTAGACTATATTTTGAGCAAATACATGTATATGAATATATACAACTCTATATGCATATACATGCAATTACCAAATACAATTTTTTTTTGTTTTGTGGGAAAAAAAATAACAAGTCAGTTATGTGTTTTTTCCCACTGTGTTTTCTTCCCCCATAGTTTTAGAAAATTAGGGGAAGTCTCATCCTGAAAAGAGCTGGATGTTTGATTGTTTAACTTTCTTCTACAATTATTAGATTTCTTAAAAACCATGGACACAAAAAATTTTCATGTCACAGATGGTTTACTTTAAAGAAACAAAAGACCGATGAAGCTGGTAAATGCCTAAGCCTGAAAATACGATTTAGAAATGCAGGTTGTTAAACCATGTAGAGACCTATGGCTGCTGCATGTGTTTTTGATTTCCCTGTTAACTGTATAGGCCCTCACCTTCTCCTATGTGTCATGAAAATAATTTCTAGTTTAACTATTAAAAGCAATCTGGTGTTGTCAACCTACGTTGTTTTAAATACTCAGGGACCACAGGAAATAAGAGAATAAAGCATTTTGTTTTTAATACACATCCATGCATCTTAGGTAATTGAGCTTTATACACCTTGATGTTGGTAAACTTTCTGTGTTGAGTTGAATCTCATAATTGATGTCTAGCCTGTGTTTCTTTATTTTTAAAAGCTTAGCTAATGTGTGTAAGATGGTAAAGGGAACAAGAAATATACTCAAAAATCCTACTAATGTGGAACGAGAGAAATAAGTATATTGGTGCCTGCTCACACATAGCAAACCTGTTACATAGTGTAATTTACCTTTTTAGTCTGATTAAGTGTGTATCGTTATTCCTGTGCAAAGAGAACAGTGGTACCTAGAAATATTATATATATTTCCTAAGATTAGAAAACTAATAAGCTGTAAAAGAGAGTATCAAATCCAATTTTATTTAAAGGCCATATTTTCTACTATACCCCATTGCCTTTGAAGTTATTGAGTGATTGATTCACCAATGCACTGAATGAATTAAATAAAAGTGAATGAATTAATAAACTACTATTGAGTAAGAACATAATGGCTGGAAACTTTTGACACTTGGTGACATTTTCAGCCATAATATTGATACAGGGCAGGTGAGCCCCAAAACTGGGGCTTAACCTGGGAGGGTTCTTGGTTTTTCCTTGGAAAGAATTCCAGGGCAAGTTGGTAGCATTAAACAATGAGTTTTACTGAGGCAGCAGTGCACAGAAGCAGTAGAGGAGGGCTATCCCGTAGGCAGTGTGCCCAGATTAGCAGCTCAGAGGCTGTTCCGCAGTCATATTTATATGCACTTTTAATTATACGCAAATTAAGGGGCAGTTTATTCAACAATTTCTAGGAAAATAGTGGTGACTTCTGGTTGTCAGGTAATTGCCATGGAAAAGGGCAGTAACTTCTGCGTGTTGCTGTGCAATGGTAAACTGACATGACACACTGCTGGACATGTTTTATGGAAAGCTACTTCCGCCATAGGCTCTGCTTAGCCAGTCTTCAATTTGGTCCAGTGTCTAAGCCCCACCTCTGGAATCCAGTCCCACCTCCTATCTCAATATGATATGTTTAAACATGTTTGCATTCTTATCATTTTATTTCTGCTATATGTTAGACATATCTTACGCTTTTATATTGCAGCCTGCAAAAATTCAGGACAAAGTGAAGTGTCTATCTCTGACACAGCTGAGAACTCTGTGGTCACTAAGGCCAATTACTCCAGAGGAGGAAGGAGTAATCACCTCAAGTTCAAATGCTAAGAACATGTAGATCAACCAAAATAATTGCTTCCTGGCCAGTTAATGTTTCAAGGAAAGATTAAAGGAAGAAAGTTCTTGCCCAGATTTATTTCTTAACAGTCAAAGCAAGAGTTTGCAAGAAATAATTGACTGTTTCATGGAAATCACATTCACATATCTTTAATACAGAGAAAAACAGAACTATATTGTTGCTTGTTTTCACGAATACACAATTTGACAGTTTCTCTACCATAGAATTATGAGAACTAGAGCGTTCATAAATAATAACATGAAGCAGTCTATTACTAAGTGTGATATGTAGGTGGAGCTTGGCCTCTTAAAACACTGAAAAGACAAATGTAAATCAGTACTGACAGAGCAATCTAAGAAAATTCCATTTAAGTATGTTTTTGTTGTTTGCAAATGAAAACTATCCAACACTTCCACTTATCAAAAATCTTGTCCAGTTCAACGTATTTTCACTAATATGTAAAACAATAAAAAATTGCAATGAGGAAGATTGGGGGTGCTGACTTTTGTACGAATAATTATTTTTCTGTTGTTTTAAGGAGGTAAGTATCATTATATGCCATTTTAATGTTAACTCTGTATATATATGTTCAGTCTTACTATAAGTAAAAGTCTATGTTAAACCTTACTGTGAACTTCAAGATGTGTATAAAACAACTCATGTCTTTGATATCAGCGTACTATAGAATATGTGTGTGCATGCATTTACATGCATAAATAAGAGATGATAAAGGATATTACATTATTGTGATTTGCAACTCAGGAAAAATGTAGAAACCATAAAGTAAGATGCATTACAAATTGATTTCAAAACTACCCTTAAGTTAATGCTGACCCACAACTGCATGGTTGCTGAAACTAAATATTTTAAAGTGTTAGTTGCTAATTGAGAATTTTGCCTTAATCACATTTTCTAGGTTAATATATTCAGAACAAAATAGATAGTAACTACAAATCTTTAGCCAGTTTACACTGCCTCCACTCCCAAGTCATGATATATGCTGATACAAATTATATGAATTAGGGTTTTGTTGTGAGAATGATACATTAAAAGCAACTCCAGAATATTTTCCATGGCCGCAGCACAAACACGTACTTCTCATTCACAAGCGTGTGGTTTAGCTAGACATGCTGAGCCCGAGTTCCCATTTGCTTTGTGTGTCTGTCATCCTGAGACACAGGCTGGAAGTGATGACAACATGGGGTCTGCTCTTCTGATTGGGAATGGCAGATGTGCAGTCAGGCTGGGAGCAACCCATTTTGCTATTAGAAGCCTCAGCTCAGAACCTGTATGCACTCACTGCCGCCCCCAGCACACTGACCCCAAAAATCTCATGGCAGAGTCCTTTCTCAATAGCATAAGGAAATGTTCTCAACCCATAGGGAGACAAGTCCCAGGAATGGAGGGATGAACAAAGTGTAAGCAAATCATGCTTATCACACCACACACCAGTTCACATCCATCATTCAGTAGAGACCAGTCTGCAAAGATGGCATTAATAACTCTTGGATAACCATTCGGCATATCAAAACACAGTGGAAACTATTCGACATTTAAAACCTGGGCATCTGTTAGAAATATCAGAATAATTCAGAAGTTAAACCTGTGCCCTCCACCCTTTTTATTCCTGCTTGACCTTTTTAAGTATATTTACCCTTATCACCTGGAGACGTGGCCTCAAAGGTGAAAAAAGCAGCAACCCCGACAGAGATAAGGATTTCACGTATTTAATGTCCTCTAAGCAGATATCCTGTCATTGATAATTGGAGAACACATCGTCAGGGGTGTTATCTCCATTATTTCTGGAAGAAACACTTCAGATGCAGTCTAAAGAAATTATAGAAAAAAAAAAACGTCAGAAGGAAACTCCAGTCTTCTCTAGCAGAGAACAGCTAGGACAGGAGAGGATTCTCTCTCCTCGTTCCTAGGAAAAAAGATCTGGAGACTAAATAATTATGCTTCCCTCTAATAAGTTTTCTAACTCATTGTAGGACATTTACCCATTAAACATACCTCTGAACATAAGGGAAACTTTAGAACAGAAGCTAGAAAATAACTTAGATATAATTGACTTCAATTCACTGTTTTATTCTACAGGACACTTAATTAAATTAGAATTCCACATTTTAAAAAATTGTGTAAGTGTATCCCATGCAATATCTGGGATATACTTATACTAATAAAAGTGTATACGGTTTATCTGAAATTCCAATTTAACTGGTCACCTCTGCTCTATCTGGAAGCCCTACCAGGCCACTTCTTCAGGTTTTAAAATGTTAGTTTTGGGAATTTCTAGATTGTCCTATTATTTAAATTAATTCCTAAAAACACATATGTAAAATTGTTAAACACATACTTAAGGTAATCTAGGGAATGAATAATTTCAGAATTCTATGGATATTTTGACTCCAAGTCAAGCCTCAAAAACATCTCCTAAGAATGGGCAAACTGTCAAAAAAATCACTAAACTATGCCTGACTTCAACTTTCAAATTTAATTGATTAAATAGCTTTATATATGCATCATTCTGAGTCAAAACTGGAGGTTAATAATTATGTTTGCATTTCATAACCACACACACATTTATTTTTTACAAGAACATCAATCTCAGTATTTCCACAGCGTTAATTTTCACATAGAGTTAAAAACACCTGGAATACTTCTGGTTTCAGATCCTTGAGGAATCGCCACACTGTCTTCCACAATGGTTGAACTAATTTACACACCCACCAACAGTGTAATAGCATTCCTATTTCTCCACAGCCTCTCCAGCATGTGTTGTTTCTTGACTTCTTAATAATCGCCATTCTGACTGGCATGAGATCATATCTGGTTGTGGTTTTGATTTGCATTTCTCTCAGGACCAGTGATGATGAGCTTTTTTTCATATGCTTGTTGGCCACATAAATGTCTTCTTTTGACAAGTGTGTTTTCATATCCTTTGGTGACCCAGCAATCCCATTACTGGGTATATACCAAAAGGACTATGAATAATTCCACTGTAAAGACACATCCACACATATGTTTATTGCAGCACTATTTATAATAGCAAAGACTTGGAACCAACCCAAATGCCCATCAATGATAGACTGGATAAAGAAAATGTGGCACATGTACACCATGGAATATTATGCAGCCGTAAAAAAATGAGTTCATGTCCTCTGCAGGGACATGGATGAAGGTAGAAACCATCATTCTCAGAAAAATAACACAGGAACAGAAAACCAAACACCACATGTTCTCATTCATAAGTGGGAGTTGAACAATGAGAACACATGGACACAAGGGGAACATCACACACAGGGGCCCGTCAGGGGGTGGGGGACAAGGGGAGGGAAAGCATTAGGACAAATATGTAATGCATGAGGGGCTTAAAACCTAGATGACAGGTTGATGGGTGCAGCAAACCACCATGACCCATGTATACCTATGTAACAAACCTGCACGTTCTGCACATCTATCCCAGAACTTAAAGTATATATATATAAAACACCTGGAGTAAAATCAAAGTAATAACCACCTTTATACATACATACACACACACACATGCACACACCCCTACATATAAAATCTTTTTATGAGAATTGGAAAAGTACGTAACAGTTATATTAATTTCCTGTCAAGCTAAGGGTTAACTAGAAAATTGATTTTGTCTCAAATCTTGGTTGAATGCATTTATGAAATAAACCAGTATTGGTGGAACTAATATAAGCTTATTTAACATTATTTCTAATATATTTGTCATTTATTTTTCTTGAACTCCTCAACCACATGCAGAATCTCAGAAATTCAGTGGTTCAGCTGTGCCACTTCCTGCTCCTGGAGACCGCCGGGCACTATCTTTAGAAGTGAAGTATTTCCTACAGGCACCAGCTCATCAAGCAGGGAGCACTTAGAAAGCTGTTTGTGCAGCTCAAGTGTCTTGCTTCATCACGACTTCGTATTGTAATTAGACTCACAAAAGATAATTTAAAAAAATATCGAGTTGCTGATTTGAATGGGGCATTAAAAATATAGGTATGGAAAAATGGCATAACAGTAGATAAATACATGAGAAAAATAGAAAAAAAAATTGTCTTATCTTTGCAGGTCCAGCACCTAGTGAAAGCCTGCAGCAGTAAATGTTTTAAATAAATAAAAATAAACAAATGGCATAAGCAAAGGGAACTGTTTTGGAAGGAAGCTGATTAATATTTAATGACAACTTATTACATGTCGGTTGTTTTTGATTTTATCTATTTTTATTTAAAACACAATGTCAATCTTTTTTCCTTTTAATTTAAAACTAGGAAGCTAAAACGTAAGGAAAGAAAGCACCCAGAAAGACAAACACACACACGCGCACACACACACATACACACACAATTCATTTTAAAAATCACAAACTAGAAAGTGGTGTAGATTTTTCATCCAAATCTGTCTGATATGAGAGGCTATGTTTTTTCAACTATACTCCACTGTTTCATCATCCTATAGAAAAGACATTTTAAAAATTAATTTTTTAAACTTTCAAAACTTCTGTTTTATGATATCCTTCGTAATCCATAGTCCATAAACTATGAACACGTCAACTGTTTGTTTCTGAGTCCAAGTTTTGCTCTGTTACCCAGACTGGAGTGCAGTGGTACAATTTCAGCAACCTCCGACCCCCCAGATTCAAGCGATTCTCCTGCCTCAGCCTCCCGAGTAGCTGAGATTACAGACACGGGCCACCATGCCTGGCTAATTTTTGTATTTTTAGTAGAGACGGGGTTTCACCATGTTGGCCAGAGTGGTCTTGAACTCCTGGCTTCAAGTGATCCACCCACCTCCACCTCCCAAGGTGCTGGAATTACAGGTGCGAGCCACCATGCCTGGCCTCAAGTTATTAATAAAACAAAATGTTATGTATTTATCAAATGTTTGGAGTTCTTACCCTAGGACTATATATTCGTGTTGGTTCACACATCCCTACTGTACCAACTCCATGTTACTTCAGTTTATTTTGAAACTTCTAATTACAAATACATATATAAATGGAGGGACTGATTCATTCCAAGTACTAGGAGGTAAGCAAATGTGTGTCCTGCACAGAAAATAAATGACAGGCTGAATTCTAAAATTATTGACTTCTAAGTACAAAATTCTAAAACTGTTGATTTCTAAACAGTAAGAGATATAAAATATCTTGCGGGCCACAAAAAAACTATACTTCTATTGTGGCAGGCAGGGAGGAATAGAGCTGTGAGTGGTGGCTCTTAAGCAATTAGCTGAAACCTTACCTTTATGTGAACACTTCTAATATGATTGAGATAAAAGTTTCATCTACAAAAGTAACTTTCACTCTGTACAGCACAAGTCCATGGCTTAACCAGTTCAGAGAAAATGGTAAAATGCCTGAAAAATTTATAAGATCAAAATATTAGGGAGTGGGGGCTGCTTTTAGGCAAAATCTGAAGTTATGAATTTAGGGAAAGTTTCAGTTTCAGATTGGTAAAGATGATCCACATCAAATATTTTAATGCCGTTTTGCATAAACAAAGCGACTGAATTATCAAATTATAAAGCATGCCTCTGTAAACTTAGAACCTACCGATGTCTTGTTCATTCTTTTGTGTATTACTTGGGTTAAGCCACTTCCTAATCTTACCTTCCTATTTGAAAACTAGGCAATTAGTTCAGGTGACCTTAAAAGTTTTTTGCAATATTCAACTTTTTATATTTAATACGAGGGCAGAAAATTGTCAGAAAAGCAAAGTGAGAATGTGCAATGGCTGTGTAAATGTCGGAAATTCAAAGAGCTAAAACAGGCAATCTGGAATGCCAGTTTGTCTTGTCGGAAATTTAGAAATTTTAGTAGCAGAAAAAAAAAAAAAACAACAAAAAAAACCAGGATAGAGAAAGTTATTACAACAATTCCAGATACACAGACTAGCAGAGAGAATGGATGAATGTAGTACGACATCCTGTGGTAATTACGATTTTAACGGTATTAACATAAGAAATGCATCTGACAGTGAAGGAATCATTGGAAGAGACATTCATATATGCTCATGCTAAAATCAAGATGAGAAACTACTTAATTGGAAAAGAGCTAGAAACAGTTTAAGATGCAAGAAACTACAAAAATAAATAAATAAATCCTGAAGCAATTAGAGAAGGCGTGCATGCCCACTCCCCACCTAGACTGGTGAATTTATTGTTCCATCCACTTAAATATTTGAGCCATTTGGGGTAAGATTCTATGGAGCTAGTTAAAGCATATGGTTATGGGGCATATTGAGATTTATACATACTTACTAGCCTTCAAAGGAGCCAACTCTAACTGGAGAGATAAGATAGGTGCAGAATTAATGTAATAAAAATAAATACTACTAGAGATGTCATGGGACCTTTTTGCATTGATTTATCGAACGTCATGCTAAGTGCTTACGCTGCCCTTTGGAGGGAGAGGATGTGGTTTGTGTGCAGAGAGTGGTAGCAGCCTTGTTAAGTGGACAATATCATCAGTCTGCACAATAGCCTCATTGGCTCAGGGTGTGTCTTACTCACAGTGACCAGCATCTGTGTCTTTGCTGGAATCCGAGCCCATAGTGCTGGAGCTCACTTTGCTGTACACAAAGGGGAATGGGAGGTGCCTGGGAATTTTTGCTCTCTAGAGTAACCTCTACCCAATGATTGACAGATGCCAAGAGATAAATATTCCATTTTCCTTTTCAATGATTCAAATTGTCACCAGATTTCCTCGCCAGGATTTAGTCCAGGCTATCTTCTGTTGACTTCCGGTGAGAGCACACCCATGTCTGGCCAGCACTCTTTTTCTGGCTCACTTCTTCATTTCCCTACTGTTTTAATTCCTCCCTGGGAATTCTTCACAATCGTTCACTTTCACAGGAATCTTGTTTCAGGGTTTGCTTCTGGGGACTCCAAGCAGTGATACTTTTCCAAAGTCCAAGTCCTTCTTTATATGAGGGGAGGGTAGAAATATGCTGAACTGTAAAACCAAACTTCACAGCTTCTTATTAGGTGGAAGTGGCCCTGGGACATGGTTCCAATGAATGGTATATCAGAGGAAACCTATTGGATATTGGAGAAGAAGGTTTACTTCCTAGTGCAGTGATTCTCTCCAAAGCATCATTCTTTCTCCTACCTGGAGTATATGCAGGGAGCTGGAGGCAGGACAGCCCAGAGGTGACCATGAAGACCAAGGGAAGCCCTGAAAACGCCAGAGCAGAGGAGAAAAGGTGCACGTTCGATGGTGAGTGTCACCAGAGACATTGGAGGGCCACAGCCTCAGAGCTGGACTACCTGCTTCCACGGGTGTTATAAGGTTATGCAAATAAAGCACTGTGTTTAAGCTGTGGACAGCTCTGTTCCCGTGCAACTGAGTTCAATCTCTAATTGGTACAGTGGAAACAGAAGACAAATAATCTGCCCCACACTCCCCCATGACACAAGTTTACCTGTGTAACAAACTTGCACTTGTATCCCCGAACTTGAAATAAAAAGTTAAAAAATGATTTTCAATGTTTTCAATGGAGTGTGAAGGGCCAGCTCCCTTCACTGGGGCTGGGTTGGGACAAGTCACATATCAGAGTCCCCTGTAGGGTCAGGTGGAAGCTGCCTCTGGGAGTTTGCCTAAGTTTCGGCCTGGCTTGGCTTCCTCTCCTTCTTCAGCAATTTCCATCAAATTTACAACGGAAACCTCTTCAAGTCCTCTAAAGCCCTCTCCATCAAGCAGAACCAGAATGCCCAAACTTAATCCCAGCTCCACCCCTTACTAGCTGGTTGAACTTCGCAGTCATGTTATCTGTTATGAACTGTAAAACAGGCATAAAACCTTCAAAGGATGGTTGTACAGATTCAACGTCAAGTACTCAGAACTGTGCTTGATACATGCCATTGTTACTCTTTTCTTTCTTCTTTCTTTTTTTTTGAGACAAGATCTCATTGTGTCGCCCAGGCTGGAGCGCAGTGGCAGGATCATAGCTCATTGCAGCCTCGACCTCCATGGCTCAGGTGATCCACCCACCTCAGCCTCCAGAGTAGCTGGTACTATAGATGTATGCCACCGTGCCTGCCTAATTTTTGCATTTTTTTTTGATAGAGGTGGGGTTTTGTCATGTTTTCCAGGCTGGTCTCGAACCCCTGGGCTCAAGTGACCTGCCTGCCTCGGCCTCGCAAATTGCTGGAGTTACAGGCGTAAGCTACCATGCCCAGCCTTTTCTATAATTTATATTTATTTCAATTCAGAATCTGACTCAAACAAAAAGAGAAGGCTAGGTTTTGAGATGTAATAAAAGATACATTTCAAGGGAAAAGTTTGAACCTACAGAATGTCAGAAAATTCAACATATCAATATTTATAGATTGCTAGTTTGATTCTTTCAAATCTCTTAATAAAATTGTAAATATCCCAGTGAAAAACGGTATGTTAGAAAATCTCCACTGACAACCCAATTACGGTGCACTCCTGGCAGTTGGAAGAATAACATTGCCAGTGGCACTGGGAGCACAGGAGCACTTAAACTGAAATTGGTACATCTGTAAAGACATGCTGAGTTGGGCATCTTAGTGGCAAACACCTCATATCTGCACACTGATAGCTGGATGATATTTGGTATTGTCACATAAACAATCCTTTGCCATTTGTCATATTTTTGCTTATTTTTATCCAAGAGGAAAATCGCCTTGCTACCACTTATTTCACCCATAGTTCTGCCTATTGCATCGTCATAGTAATGTGGAATATTTCTGCTGTAAATTTTCTGGTACCAGCCCTGTTTATGAATATTTCCCTAAACACATCTCTTCTGTTTGTATGTCATTGGCCCTGTTTTCAAATTAGTCAAGGGCTTATAGAATTAATAGGCTGCATGGCCAGTGTTCAGGTCTACATTCCCATCCTGGAGGGTTTACGTTAAATATTTGGGCTAAATTATCAAAACAGAAGGCACCCTTTCGTGACATTTTCCAGTGGCTATTCCCAAGGCGTGGTGTTTGGAGATGAAGGCACTTGCATCTCCAGGGAGGAGACTTTTGGACTTAGATCTTTTGGGGCTGTGCACAATGATTATAAGAGCTCGTGTACAAGGCATCTGGGAAGGGCTATGCCCATTTTACTTCCGTATACCCGGAGGTGAGGCTCTTCAAAGATACCTTAATCCTGAAAGAGGGGCACAGTGGTAAAAACCAAAGGGCCAGGTGTAAGACTTTATTCACCATGTAGGGGGCACTCTCATTATCCAAACTTACTGATACTGATGCATAAGAATGACTTACCGGGAGAGGAAAGATGTGGTTAAAGTGATAATGCCTATGAACTCCCTGTTTAGCTCAGCGCCTGGTATAGAGTGACAGCTTGATAAAACGTAAGTAATAATAACTATTTCCAAAATACTCATATGTTTTAAATATTAAATAGGGTTTAAATTGTTTTTTTTAAAAAGGGCAAAGGCCAGGTGCAGTGGCTCACGTCTATAATCCTAGCACTTTGGGGGACTGAGGCAGGCAGATCACCTGTCAGGAGTTCGACACCAGCCTGGCCAACATGCCGAAACCCCATCTCTACTAAAAATACAAAAACTAGCTGGGTGTGGTGGCGGGTGCCTGTAATCCCAGCTACTCGGGAGGCTGAGGCAGGACAATTGCTTGAACTCAGGAGGCAGAGGCTGCAGTGAGCCGAGATTGAACCACTGCACTCCAGCCTGTGTGACAGAGCAAGACTCCATCTCAAAAAAAAAAAAAAAAAAAAAAAAAAAAAAGGCAAAACATGAATCTAAACTATTTATGAAGGAGTATCTATTTTTAAAAATGACAAAGTTGTTACTGAAAATCCATACACTAGGAATGCAAGTCGTAAAGACCAAGGGTCTTAAGGCCGTTCCATCACCCGTATACACGGGCCAAGATGAAGAGGCCTGGGGGAAGTTTCCATTCAGGAAAACTTGTTTTTTTTTTTTTTACCAGTAGACCGTCCAAAATGAAGCCTCTCCAGTTCTATGAGCCATGCCTAGATGGATGGAAAAGTACACCTGTAATAAAAGCAGCCTTTCTTAGCAGCATTTCCCTATTTTCTGCAGAACAGGTGGTAGTTTGTCAGTTTTGACTGACATGTAAGTGCTAGGGAAACAAAGATAAACCACATGGGGGACAGGGGAGACTCCACCACTTCACCAGGAGCCGCTGATGTCTAGGCTCCTGCTGGATCCAAACCCCATCTATACCATTTAAGAGAGGTGGGATCTTGGGAAGTTACTTTACTTCTTCCCTCCCCATTTTTGCTTTCATAAAATGGAGAGTATGACAATGATTTTACCTCTCTCACAGCACGGCAGTGAGTATTAAATAAAGCCATTTAGAGAAAGTACCTAACTCCATGATTGCTCCGTGTTCAGCATTCAAATAATGTTAGTCGTACGCACTTAGAAGCCCAAATCCCCAACTTCCCATTTATTTCTGGAAAAGTTAGCCCATTTACCTACTTAAGATCTTGTGGAAATAGAAGCTGTGCAGATGAAGAGAAGGGGATGGGGTTGTCATAGGAGGAACAAGGCTGATACTAAGAGAAGTAGACACATTGGACAAAGATGGCGCATTGTGGTCAACTGTGTTCCGTCTGCTCAGGAACTCTACTAAATCAGAAATAAAATGATAGTTAATTAGTGTGTGTGTGAGAGCGTGTGTGCACGTGTATCTGTGTATGTGTGAGTGTGTGAAAGTGGGAGCGTGTGTGTGTGTGCACGTAAAATAAAATGGTTAGATGGTAACACAATGTCCTGACATTTACCGGTAACATCTTATCTACTGCATGAACTCCCAGCCATAGGCAGTTTGGTGCGATCTGTGCTTAGCATTGCTACCTTCTTAGCAAATTAGAAAAGCTTAAAATTGCAAATATCCACTTCAAATTTTTCTAAAAGTCTCTTGTACTTCAGGATACAGAAGATTTAATATTTTTGCACGTTTCTTTTTCAGGTATGTATGTAATCGTTTTCACTTGTAACTTATTTTTAAATGCAAGTTAAAATGGATTCCAAGGACAGTATATATTGCCAATAACAGTCTTGTTGAACTGTTTTATGGGACAATAATCTGGCATCCTAGTGGTGAAAACCAGCCATCAACCTCACAGTTAATTCAGTAGGGAGGTGTATTAATGGTTCATAAAATATCACAACAGTATTATTATGACTAAACACTAGGTAAAGCTTTTTTGATATTTCAGTTGTGCTTTATCAAAAAGAATATATATATATACATATATATATGAATGAATAAAGAATATCTGACACCATGCGAAGCACATATAATTATTTTTCCTTTAAAGGTTTAAAATACTGAAACCCCAAATAGAGCTGGACTTTATGCCTCCAGTAAAGGTAATTAGGTTGTAAATGCCGATCTTGCTAATGCTAATGAGTGATTTACTAGGAATAAATTGTGCTTAACTGTATTTAGAATGCAATCCACATAATCAGAACTGACTGGTAAATTAGCACCAGTCAAAATTATCAGTATAGAGCATGGATGGCAAGTGAAAAAGAAAAAAAAACAGTAAAGTCCTTGTTGAACTCATGCATGCATCTATGAAGAGATCAAATCTTAAAATCTCAAGTGCTACGAGTCTAAGAAATCATTTACTTCGTGCCCCTTCTTTACTATAAAACATACAATTTTATTAGCTCTCTTGGCAATGCAGTGTGGTGGTTCAGAATCCTGATAAGAGAATGTTCTTTTTAATGTCTAATCTAAATCCCCTTTGCGGCAATTTCAGCCAATCTCTGCTTTGCAGTCTCTCAGCAGAAATAAATTTCCACTCTTCCCTCCTTCTGTCGCTATATGGCTGTTTTCTAACCTAAGGATCTCTTTCCACCCTCACTCAATTCCACATATGAGAAATGCGGAAGACGGAATTGTAGAGTATATTATTTTATGATATGTAAAGGGTTGATTACAGAAGTGCCAACACAAGACTTTTGTTTTCTCCTACTCTTTGCTTTAATTCATTTCTAAAATAATTTACTTCTCATATAGTATATGTTCATAGAAGTGGTTTTGCTTTACTCTTTTGCTTATTAAGAACTTTTTTTTAACTTCGCAGATTTTCTCCGTCTCGTGGAAGATCTGCAAATGTATCAACTTATGTATACAAACCATCTTCTATAGATTTAAGGATAAGTGTGTGTGAGCAGAGAAAGAGGGCAAAAAGTAAAAAGGGAGATTTCCAAATTATTCTTAGGAAATGTTGAGTGACATTTCCAGATTTACATTGAGCATTTGTGAAATTAATTAATTACAGTGGCTTAATATGTTTTTCACTGTTGATTCTTATCCAGGAACCTGTAACTCTTCAGAAATCAATCATTTTTTCAATTTCTTAAAATCGAGATACTGATGAAGTTAAACTTACCAACAATCTATCTTTTCCTCTCATTTGTTCACATGCAGTAGAAATGCATTGTGTGCCTGTTATGTATCCAGTGCTACTCTGTCTAAACGGTGCTCTCTGGACTGGTATTGCTCCTTGCTATTGTTACTCTTAAGACTGAATGAATCCTGAAATGTTGATGTGTTTTGCACACGTGTATGTGTGTGTGTGTGTCTGTGTGTGTATTTAACAGCTTTATAGAGGTATATGTGCCATAAAATTCACCTCTTTAAGTGTATAATTCAATAATTTTTACTAAATTTACAGAATTATGTGACCCTCATCACCATCTAATTTTAGAACATTTTCATCACCTTCAAGATATGTGTGTTATACAGTCTGTTTTGTATGGTCTGCTTTGTATAACTATCTCTTTTCAAATTTTTGTCACTCAAGGGAAAATCTGGAGCTAACATATGAATTCAGCATGTGTGATAATGAAGATATTTTCTTATACAAAATAAACTAATTTCAATATGTATAAAAGTGTCATCTAAAGCACATGTTCTCATAGCAAAACAAAACGCTCATCATTTTTAATATAATACCCTTCTAGTAAACTATGTTTGATGTGCTGTACATTCTCAACAAGGACAGCTCCATGAATAGGCAGAATTCAGTGAGATTTTGCCCTTGACCTTTAAAGGTTTCTCTTTCATGGCTTGAAAATGGAATTTAATGTCCTGGGCTCTCTGGCTTCCAGCTTTACTTTCTTACTAACCCCAGAGATAACTCTACATATATGTAGAGATTTTATGTTAAAGTTTCTAATGCTAAACTCTGTAGGAAGCAGACAAAAGGCAATACAACTAGAACAGCTGAGAATGCTACAAAGTTTTAAATATTTTATTATCTATCTTACATTCATGGTGCATGCTGTTTAGTGCTGGACTCTTATTTTATTTAGATGGTGCTATACTTGTCCTTGAAGCTGCAAAAGCAATAGTAGTATAGTTAAAATTACATTTTCTCTCTGAATAAAATTAAATATAATCAATATAAAGAATGAGATCGGGGATCGCTAAAACTTAACCAAGGTATTGTTTTATATGTACTTAAATTCAAACTAAAGAAGCTAGATTTTGATGTTTTAGCAGAAAAGCTCATGTGTATGTGCAATATACTCTGTATTTTGAAATAATACATTATTAAAGGATATAGTCTCAAGGAACTGACAAAAGGAAAGTGAGAAGCAAGCCTGCTGAGCGTGTCCCTAGCACTATTTGGGACAAATGTGCTAGCCATTGTGTGTGGCAAGTATACAAATTCCCGTATTAAAGAGTGTTGTGTTCATGTATTACAGTCTAATGACATTGCCTAATAGGACCATCCTGCTAAGACACTTTGATATGATTTTGTGATCACCAACCGATCCTGATTATAATGTGCATTACAGTAAGCCCCTATAAAAAGAGATTTCAACAGTGAATAGAAGTCGATGCTTCATATTACTATTGTCAATATCAATTAAGTCACAACGTTAGCGTATTAGCCTTAAACTTTGCTTATTTGGTTATGCCAGTTTAAACTCTAATACTAAATGATCTTGGGACAAAATGAATTATAAAATTTCCAAATCTCAAGGCTGAAGATAATTTATTGGCATACCTTAACATACCAAGAAAATTCCTTGAAATTCAGTTACCATATTAAGGTAATGCCACTCGAGGAAACCCACTGGGGTAACATTGCTAAGCTCCTCACCAATTTCAACTTTGTTTCATCTCAAAATTGAATCATGGAAGTGGAGTGCTTCTACACACTGAGGTGCACAAAGTCTCTCTTGGGTGTGCGGGATGGAGAGTTTAGGGGAAGCAGTTTCCAAATCCCCTATTTGCATATGTTCCCTTTCTTAACATTCTCCCTCTGAGCTGTGACTGCAGTTTGCCAATTCTTTCTCCCAACATCCCCCTTTACATTGCCTTCCCTGCCACTTCTCAAAAGATAGATGTGCTTCTCTTCCACCTGGAGTCTGATTATGGTTCATCGCCTGGGTTGGAAAAATACATCCAGGAACCAGAAATGTAGATCTTTCAGAAAGTATTGTTTCTCATAGAGAGCCCATGAAGAACAAAACAAAGAGAGGATATATATATATCTCCCTGAGCAGGGCTCAGGGGCCTCCTCCTGGGTCACCTCATCTTTGCACCAGACTTCCTCTTGTTGTTCTTCCTCATCATGAAATTTCTGGAGGGGAAAGACACTTCAGCTTTTGCCGCAAATTTGTTGGGGGTGCTTCTGGTGGGTACTGAGGATGAACTAGAGGGTGCGGACGCCAGCACAGTTCATCAGCGTCAACTACATCCTTCCGCAGTTCCTGGTGCTCTTTGGCAGCCTGGCGGCTCTGTTCTGGGATGCCTGTCTGGCCTCCCTGGGGAAGTGAAGACAGCTGGGAGAACATCTGGTGCACTGTGGACAGGGGTCTAGGGGGGTCTCACCCACCCACTGGGAGAGCAGAACCAGCCCAGTCAGGACTTCATTGACTCTAAATCATGAAAATGATGGATGGAGAAATAGAAATCTCCTGGTGTCAGAACCTTGTCTTTTAAAAAGGCAGTAGCTAACTTCCGATGGTGCTGCCTTAGAAACTTAAAATGTGGTGGAGACTATTTCACTTATTACCTTGGACTCAATTGGGATCACAATAAATAATAAATAATGAAATACATATAAATGGGAAGCTGTTTATTCTTTGTAGGCAACAAAAACTCAAGGTTCAGCCTCCCATCATACAACCGCACAGTCACCCACTCAACAAACAGAAACTGTATTTTAAAGGATGCCCTTCTTTTGCTACACTGAATGCCAAAGTTTTCAGTCTCAGTAAATATATTTCAGCTATTTGGAGGAAAGTATGAATTGTGTATGTCACCCAAGCAATTCAAACATATTTCTATTTCATAAGTGTCTTATTTTAGGAAGAATTTGATATTTTTGTTTACTGCAAATTTTGTAGTTTTGTTTACTCCGCTAAATTTTAAATTTTTGTCTACCACAAAAATAATGTAATTTTTATTGCTAAATTTTAAAACTTATTGATGTTAACATAAATTTATGTTAACATTTAAAATGATGTATGTTAACATTTAAAATGTTTTTACATTCGACGGAAAGAAATGCAAAACAATCATTTTGTTCAGTGAATTGGATGAAAAAGAGGAAAACTATTGAAATGACCTGATATGAAATTACTGTTTGTTTGTGAAGCTCTTCTGTGAATGGAGTCAACGTATTAGCAGCGGTGACTTTAATATTGTTTTTTATATGCACAAGAAAACATAGCTTCCAAAATGAACCTTAATTTAGAAGAACAATCTTTTGATCTGAATGAAATGTTGCGCTTTCTGAAGTGCTGGCTCGGTACCCCCGATGCAGTTGCTTGGGTTAGATAGTCATCTTTGGGTCAAGCCTTCTCAAAGTAATTATCTACCTCTGAGGCTGGAAACATAAAATGAAGTCTTGTTAAAGCCATTCTAATTCAACTATAAATATCATACTTCATTTAACATTGCGAAATCCTGAGGACATTCTAAACCAGGCCAGGCACTAAGACATGATTGTAAGCTGGGTTACAAGCTGACGCTAGGCAAAGCATTTACGATGTTGCTGTGTCGTAATAAGCACATAAATGTTTGATAATTATTCTTTAAGTTTGACTGCATTACTACCACAAAATAAGCCTTATTTGGCTGGCAAGTCTTACAGTTAGACTGGCTTTTCATTGCCACTTTAAGTCATGTGTAAAACGTACTTTTTTATTTCTTTATTAGTTTCTCTGAAATCTATATGCATCTTATTAACCCGGTCAACCACGTAGCAGTATGGGCATAGTTGTCATTGCGTGCACATGAGTGAAATTACTTGCCATTCTTGTCATATGGCTGGAAAACTACATGTTTTAGTCGATAGTTTAATGATCATTTTAGGAAGGAATATAATAAGTGGATTACCTACATGCCTTCCAATGATGCTATCTGGGAAAATCATGTAAATACAAGTGTCAACTGCTTATGAGGAAATCTTGGAGTCAGTAATTCAGCACTCTTCAGAAATGCAGGAGCACTACAAATGCTCAGGAAATGGCAAAGGATGGGTAATGTGGGGGAAAAAAAAGAGAGAGAGAAAGAGTAGATTGTCTTGAATTGAAGAATAACTGGACTTGAGTTGAACAAGTAGAACTATGAATCTGAAAAAGTGTTAATAGTAACTGTGGGTGTCAGTCATGTTTTCCATTTGATAAAGCACAGGAGAGATCTATAATAAAAATGCACAGCAAATAATTCTAAAAGACCTCTTTTAAAATATATAGAGTAAAAGTTGAGATGAAATGAAATAATTGCACAGCCTTTTATTTAACATCATGTCTCTTTGTTATTGCTATATATATTTTAGATGTTTAGATTTCTCTTCTCTTTTCTTTATGATAAAATTTCACTATTATTTTAAATCCTTGTTAATGGACTCTTTTAATGCTGTGTCTGCAGTGATAGAAATTTACAGACTTTTTTATCTTCATAGCTAGCTCCGTCACAAAATAAAGTAGTTGTCACTTAAAAATATTTCTTCAACTAAAATAAAAATGCAACCAAGACTGAGCAAGATATGTAAACTAGAGTTTGTTTGAATCTCATTTTTTATAATAATGATTTTTTCAATGCATTTGTGTTTTTCTTTTTTCCTTTATTCTTCCTTCCATCCTTCTTTTCTTCTTTTCTCTCTTCTTTCCTTTGTCCTTAACTTACTCACTATGTGTGATCTATCCTGTAAGGCAGTTTGCAGGAAGTGGGTAAGTTACACTTGTGGGAAAAGTACTGAGTGGAGGGCATGGTGCTGACCCCCATACAGCACAAGGAGGCCCAGACTTTTGCTCCTCGGGCGTACATTGAAGTGACAAAGCAAACTCCCTCCCAGGCATCCAGGTGAGTCAACGACATGATAAAGGCAATTCACATTTTATTGTCCACTGCTTCATTCTGGGAAATATTATTCAGATCAACTATTGGCATTCTGCAAAACATCTTTAGTCAGTCAGTTTTCTACGTGTATAAATAAAGCAATTGTACTCATTCATATAAGATTTTAGCATAAATGTTTAGTACATTGTCAGATCTAGTATATTTTAGTGCATAAATCCGCTACTTGGAATATATTTGACATTTAAAAATAAAGCAGATTTCAGTGAGCTTTTATTGGGGGATTATCAAGAAGGTGACTCAAAAGTTTATATGGACAGGAAAATGGCCCAGAAAAGCCAACAATATTGCCAGAGAAAAACAAAGTTGGAGGCTAACATTACCCAACTGAATGACTTACCGTGAAGCTACAATACCCAAGGCAATGTGGTGTTCTTGTCTTTATTGAATAGACAAATATATCTGAAAAATACATAAATAGAACAGTGGAACAAAATACATAGCCCAGAAGTAGACTCATGTAAATATATTCAAGTGATATTTGACAAAGAAGCAAAGACAGTACAATGGAGAAAAGACAGCCTTATCAATAAATGGTGCTAGAACAACTGCTCAGCCGCATTTTAAGAAATGAACGTAGGCATAGACACTACCCTTCAAAAAATTGTCTCCAACGAATCATATACCTAAATGTAAAATGGGAAACTATAAAACTCCTAGAATAGAACCTAGGAGAAAATTCTAGATGACCTTGGGTATGGCAATGGCCTTTTAGATTCAACACCAGACACAACCCATGAAAGGAACAATCACAAATTGGACTATACTAAAATTTAAAATTTCTGTACTTTGAAAGGCAGTGTCAAGAAATGAGAAGGTAAGCCACAGACCAGGAGTAAATATTTGTGAGACACATTTGGTAGAGGACCGTTATCCAAAATATATAAAGAACTTTAACAATTCAGCATTAAGAACACAAACAATCCAATTTAAAAACCAGCCAAAAAACTTAATAGACACTTTCCCACAGAAGATATGCAGATGACAAGTAAGCATATGAGAAGATGCTCCACGTTACATGTCATCAATGAGATACAAATTGAATGAGCAACGACGTGCCACCACACACACCTGGGAGAATGACCAAAATCCAGAATAACGATAGCATCAAATGCTGGTGAGGGTGTGGAGCAGCAGAAAGCTCATGCATTGTTCCTGGTAAAATGCAAAATGCTTCATCCACTTTGGAAGTTTGACAGTCTTCCAAACTGGGAAACATACTCTCACCGTGCAACCCAGCAATCGTGCTCACCGTTATTTAACCAAAGGAGTTGAAAACTTATGCCCACGTAAAAACCTGGCCACAGATGTTTGTTGCAGCTTTGTTCATAATTGCCAAAGCCTGGGAGCAACAAACATGTCTTCAGGGGGTGAATGGATGTACTGTGGTACATCTAGACAATGGAACATTATCCGGCACTAAAAAGAAATGAGCTTTCGAGCCATGAAAAGACATGGAAGAACCTTAAATACATATTCCCAAGTGAAAGAAGACAACCTGAGAAAGCTATACACTGTATGATTCCAACAACATGACTTTCTAGAAACGGTAAAACAATGGGGACAGTAAAAATACTGGTGGTTTCCAGGAGTGAGGGAGGAGGGAGGCATAAACAGGCACAGAACAGAGGATTTGTAAGGATCTGTAAGGTAGCAAAGCTGCTCCATATGCATAGTTTCTGTGCCACAGCACACTAGGATAAATAATTGGTGGACGCACATCATTACACATTTTTCCATTCTCATAGAACATACAACACCAAGTGTAAATCCTAATGTAAACTAGGTACTCTGGGTGGTAACGATATATCAATTTACGTTCATCTATTACAACAAATGCACCACTTTGGGAGAAGATGTTGATAATGGGGTAGGCTGTGTCTGAATGGGGGCAGGGGATATATATGTGCTGTCTGCATCCTGCTTTCAATTTTGCTATGAACAAAAATTAACAAATAAAGTCTACCTTTTTTTTAAATAAAGAAATGCATGCCTGTAATCCCAGTACTTTGGGAGGCCGAGGGGACTGGATCACCTGAGGTCAGGGGTTTGAGACCAGCTTGACCAACATGACAAAACCCCATCTCTACTAAAAATACAAAAATTAGCTGGGTGTGGTGGTGGGTGCTGTAGTCCCAGCTACTGGGGAGGCTGAGGTGAGAGAATTGCTTCAACCCAAGAGGAAGAGGTTGCAGTGAGCTGATACCATGCCATTGCACTCCAGCCTGGGTGACAGAGCGAGACTCTGCCTCAAAGAAAAAAAAAAAGAAGAAGGAATGATCTTTCCTTTTTTTCCTTGTCTTCATCAAATATAAAGTAACAATGAACATCCTAAATACAGGTGGATAATCTAAATCCTGATGTCAGTGTGCCAAAGTAATCTTTGCAACTCCATATATACCTCCTGGAGCATAAGAGAATAAAATTTGAATACCTTCAAGACCTCTATAAAAATAGTTGATTCAGCTGACTCACAGTAAAATTACCATGAGCTGCTCCTACAGAGAAATATACTATTAACCTAGTTTCTGATGTTCTGCAAGGAGCAACAGATTTTGAAAAGATAAGTATGTCGAAATCTATGAGGTGTATTTCTAGCAGTAACACATTTGTTCAGATAAAATAGTTTGACATGAAAATGAGAACAAGAGAAATAAAGAGTTCTTAAAATGTGAGAACGCTTCGTGGAAATGACCAAGGAAAAGTGAAGCCAAATGACTGTAATTAGCTCCTCAGAAAACAACTTCCACGTGCACCTTTCTCCCTCTGTGACCTCCTCCTGCCCCCTTGTCTTTGTGATTTCTTCTAGCTGTTTATTCATTGCTTCACCTCCTTAATATTCAAAGGCTCAGCCAGTTGTTCTTTCTCCTTTCCTTTGCAAGAGTAAAATTAATTTAGAATATTTATACAAATGAATATTTAAAATGCTGCCACACATCTTTCTTTTACCCCTCAAATTGTTCTCTACTGCTCATCTGCTTCCTGCTTCAGGAAACTGACCTTTGGGGAATCCTTTCACAGGTCCTTCTGCCCCTGGGGCTTTGAGTTGTTTTCCATGGATTGGCACCACCATGAAAAGATAAGAGAGGGTAAGTGCATTTAAGGCAGGTTGCTTGTATTGCTGATTCCCCCTCTGTTCTGCTGCCTGTGTCGCTGGACTGAAAGTAACTACATCTCTCAAGGCAGCCTCCACTATCTGTCTCCTTTCTTCCAGTTCCAGTGATGACTCTATTCTTTCTCTCCTCCCCCTTCAGCCTAGGGATAGCAACAGCTTAGCTACTACTGGGTTAGCTGTCAGCACCACATCTTCTGGTTTCTATGCCTTTGCTATTCTGAATAATCTATTCACAAACAAGCCCTCTGAATCATTCTGGTTTTGAAATAATACTGTATGTTTTATAGAAGTTGCCTTTTTTCACTCAATTTCTCATTCTAGTCATTTACCTGTATTATTGCCTATAAAATATTTTTACATTTTTCAATTGAATTATATATTTTATACTTCATGTATCATTTACATTGGTGGTGAACCAGTGCATTTTTTCTACCATTTTGCTTTTAAGCATTTGCAACTGTAGGTATGTTTGCACATATCTTCTGGAACATATGACTGTCTGGGCTCTATCGCTAGCTTGATGAGTTATAGCGTGTACACATGTTCAGTTTTAACAGATGATATGGTTTGGCTCTGTGTCCCCACCAAAATCTCATGCTGAATTGTAATTCACAATGGAGGAGGGGCCTGCTGGGAGGTGATTGAATCATGGGGACAGACATCCTCCTTGCTGTTCTCACAAGGTATGGTTGTTTGATAAATCTGTGGCTCTTCCCCCTGCTGTCTTTCTCTTTCTCTTGCTCCACCATGGTAAGATGTGCTCACTTCCCCTTCACCTTCGGCCATGATTGTAAGTTTCCTGAGGCCGCCCAGCATTGCTTCCTGTATAGCCTGTGGAGCTGTGAGTCAAATAAACCTCTTTCCTTCATAAATCACCCAGTCTCAGGTAGTTCTCTATAACATTGTGAGAATGGAGTAATACAACAGACAATCCCAGTTATTTTTCTGGGTGCATTTCCAAAGTGACTATCTTTTTTTAACCACAAGAAGTATACAAAAGTTCCAAGAACACTACTTCCTTGCCAACACCTAAAATTGTCCATCTTTAGAATTTTTAGAAATTCAGTCCTGGTAAAAGTTTTTTTATTGAAGATTTAATTTGCAGTTCCTTAAAAACGAGTCAGGTTGCAAATCTCTTCATGAGATTTTCCTTCAAGTCTTCCATTCTTTTTTTTTTCTAATGGAATATTGACATTTTCTTACTATTTTCTAAGACTTAAAAATTCCAGGCTCTAAATCTTTTTGTAAATTATATGTTTGATAAATAACTCTCCCAATTATGGGACTTCACTTTTTACTTTTTTACTGAAGATTTTGATGAAGATAAGTTGTTAATTTTAACGTCTTTGGAACTTATTTCTGAAGTTTTATGTCTGAATTAAAAATGTATTTTTCTAACATGATATCATGAACAAATTATGTTTTATATTCTCCAATTTCATAATTCTGCCTGTCATCTTGATGCTTTGATTGACCTCATGATAACTGTCTTCAACTATTTCTCGCCAATAGTGCCTAATTGGCTGTTGAACCCAGTCACTGTAGTTTCATTTAAGCTACCGTAATTTTTTTCTTTTCTTTTCTTTTCTTTTTTTTTTTTAGACAGAGTCTTCTTTGCTCAGGCTTGGAATGCAATGGCGTGATCTCGGCTCCGTGTAATCTCTGCCTCTTGGGTTCAAACGATTCTTCTGCCTCAGCCTCCCAAGTAGCTGAGATTACAGGCGGCTGCCACCACACCAGGCTACTTTTTGTGTTTTTAGTAGAGATGGGGTTTCACCATGTGGACCAAGCTGGTCTCGAACTCCTGACCTCAAGTGATCCGCCTGCCTTGGCCTCCTATAGTGCTGGGATTACAGGTGTGAGCCACTGCACCCAGCCCTGTATTTTTATCTCCACAAATTTTATTTATTCCTTTAAAACAGCATTGTTAAAGAACTTTATTCTTCTCTTTTCAAAATATTTATTTAAATGCATGCCTAGAATGTAAACATTTGCACATTATCAGCCTGCCCTGCTACTCGTAGTCTGACTGATCCTTGCCATCATCCCTTATTTTATTGGTTTTGGGATTATTATTATAACAGAATAATACAATCATAAAAATAATACTTATAATTATTACTATTTTTTAAGCTTCATCTTTGGGAATTATTTGAGGCCAGTGTTAAAAAAAAAAGCTCTAGGATAAACTACGGTGCCATTATCAAGCAAGGTTTGCTCTAAAATAAGTCAGGGCTTGAGGCCTCTCAGGAAATGCAGGTAATGCAAAGGCGGACGTGGGAGGGCAGCTGTAGTTACAGATTCTGAGGGGAGATATCTTTCCCATTTCTCCAATACCAGTAATGACACAGCAGATATCCTTATTGACCTACACTACTGTGTGTGTCTGTGTATGCGTGTGTGTATGCATGTGTGTGCATGTATGTGTGTGTGCACTTGTGTGCATATGCACTTGTGTCTACATGTGTGCCTTGCTGTGTGTGCACACATGTGTGTGTGTGCATGTGTACATGCCTATACATGTGTGTGTGCTTGCATCTGTGTGTGTTTAGTTCTTTGTTTGATTAGATCATCCTATATTCGAGTGCAGGCTCTTAGTGTCCTGTCTTTGGGGATCCTGTGTCAGACTCCCACCTTGATGAGCTACCTGGCTGAGCCATGAACACCTGAGCTGTAGCTCTCTGGTCTTTAGCACATAGTCCAGTACGAAGTAGCTTCAGTCTTTTCTTAATGATCTAAAGCTTTCCTTTAACTTTGTTTTCTTTTTTTTCCCACCCCTGAGGATTTTCTATTTTCTTTAAGTTAAATGAGACATTTAATAGATTTTTATTTTTTATGTTAAACTTTTGTTTTAAAGTGAGAACTTTGTTCAGATATTGAATTGGTCATACTGCTGGAAACATATAACTAAACTTTAATTTCAAACTACAAGTCAAATCATATAATCTAACAGATAGTCAGACACAAAGAAAATACATAAAATTAATACTTAGGGAAGGTAAATGAGACACCTGCAGCCAACCCTCAATTTACTTAGAGTATTAATTAGAAACTGATTCGTTCATAAGTGAATATAACAACTATGTTTTCTATTAACTTTCATTTTGTCCTTATTTCAAGACAGTGTGTTTATTCATTGGTTGAGTGGCTAGCTTAATCCTGGATTTTAACTGTCAATGGGGAATATGAGGATTGTGAAATAAATTATTTAGAAAACCACTATAATACAGGTTTTGCTAAGAATTTATCCTTATGCCCACGCGGTTTTTGGATGACTGGCATTTTAGAAGCTTAAATATTTTATTGCACTGATATAAAATGTAAATGACTAATCATTACTGCGATTAAACCAAAAAGAAACATGTATGATGAAGACAGTATCTTAAATCTAAAAGCAATTAAAACAATTATTTTTCAAATTCGTCAGGTACCTGATATTCCTGCATATAATAAAATGTGGACTTTTACAACTGGAAGGAACCTGGAAATTCTATTATCTAGCTCTCTCATAGTTAGTGAGTATGGTGTTTAGGGTAGTTGATCATGAAGAAATACTGACCTTTCTGTGTTTGGTGATACTAGATTCATAAAGTATCTGAGAGGCATGCATAAGCTCTAAGCTCATGCATGAAGGACAAGTAGATTTGGAAGACATCCACACTTTCTTCAGTAAACAACTGGAGTCTCAGATATTTTCTGAGAATCTTCTGTGCATGTCACTTTGCTATGCTGGGCTTTTGTGATGACAACCTCAGTGTTACCAGAGGCTGGGAAGGGTACTGGGGAGGTGAGGGGAGGGGGACACTGGGGATGATTAATGGGTACAAAAAGCAGTTAGAAAGAATGAGTAAGACAGTATTTGACAGCACAACAGAGTCAATAATAATTTAGTTGCACACTTTAAAATAACTAAAGAAGTATGTTAGTGACCTACTCCTTTAGTTGTGATGTTTGTGACACAATGCATAAATGCTTGATGTGATGGATACCCCATTCAGCCTGATGTGAATACTACATATTGCATGCCTGTGTCAAAATATCTCATGTAACCCTTAAATATATGCACCTATTAGGTAGCAATAAAAACTAAAAATGGAACATTTAAAAACAAAAAAAGAAAAGACAAGATTTAGTTGGGGTATATGGCCTCATTTTCTACCTGGTTATGTCCTGATTTGTAAACACACATGTCAAAATATGGACTGAGAGGAAGAGAGTTTGTCACAGGGGACATTAAGTAAGGTTTCATGGAGAAAGTGGCTTGAAAGCTTAAAGATAGCTACGGTGGAACACGCATATGAAGATAGATGGGAAGGAAGAACAGTAAAAACAGAGGAAATAGCACACACAAGGCTCCTGGGTTGAAACTGTGCAGGAGAAGTCTACTGGATTTCTGCTAGTTAGATTGCCCTTCCCCAGATTAAAGCGGCACTTTGATCAGGATTCCGTATTCCCTAACCCCCAACTACCTTCCCCACTATGTTTCTCTCTCTCTCTCTCTCCTTTTTTTTTCTTTTTACATGTACTCAATTCCTCATCTATGCATTACCCTCTGTTCCCATACAACTTCTCAAATTCTAATTTTTGTATTTAGTCAATGTCATTATTATGTCAGCCTTAAAATTAAATTCTATTTTTCAACAGCCTACCAGTGCATTATGGCCAGGATCAAATGCCACCTCCTTAATAAACTCATCCCTGATTCCTCATTGTGAATTTTCCTTCCAGTAAATGACATATTTGCAATTTTTTCACATTAGCTTAAAACATTGTTTTCACATTTACAAATTTGTATACTTAGACAATGAGGCAGAAAACTAGACTTCATTTTTAAATTCCCAGTGGTAACTTGCAGACCATCTTGGACACAGTCAAAAAGTTTAGAAGGCGAAAAGAAATAATTGTGGGGGCTTATATGTGTTTTACTCTCTTTCTCATATGCTTTATGGTTTATTTGGTGCTTTTTGGATAGTCAATTTATATATACTTTCATTACAATTAATGTTATATTTAGGTATTATTATTCTTTCTTTACACTTAAAAATCATGGCACATACCCCAGACTGTACATAGTAAGTGAACAGAGCTGGGATTAATATCTAGATCCACCTCCAAATTTCTTTTACTTCCTGCACTGGCATGAACTGCAAATCTCTGACAGAACATGATCCTTGCATGAGGTCATTTGCCTTGAACAAAATGCATAAAAGCAAAAAAAAAATTGTTCTTAGGATAGGGATCTCAGATTAGGACAAAACATCAAATATAAATAGGCCTTTCTTCAATGTGCAAGACTTATTCCTATAGCATCATGTTTTTGACCTTCGGATTAGATTTTGAGGCTACAACTTTCTGGAGAAAAACTGAACCATTAATGATGAATCCCAGAATATTATGTATTTTATAGGTCTCTGGTATTTCCTGAAACAACGAAAGAATTGATCAATAATGCTGTGTTTGAAAGTAAAGACAAGACTAACTCACTGGACGACAAACATGCAACCAGAAAATCTTTTTCTTTGAAAATTATTACTTGTTGTAGTTTCCATCTTAGGAAATTAGTCGATGAATTAAAGCACACTAAAGGCATACAGATCCTGCTTTAAAGGTGAGTTAACAAAGAGCAACTTTAAAGTACAAAGAAAGCCTCAAGACAGTCACATCCTCCCCAACTCAAACTTCACCTGTTGATTTGTTTCATGCCTTAGCTGTCATGTAACCGAAACAGTTGGTTCCAGTTTGCATAGTGTGACAGCTACCAGCAGTCTAAATAAAACATCTTTCTCTTAAACAACATGAGCAATATTCAAGCATTCCCGTATAAATAGAATGGATATGCAGTCCTCATAGGATATCACTCTCATACTGACATTGACATGTAACGCTAGTCAAAAAAAAAAAAAAAAAAAACCCTAGAAGAAAACCGAGGCAATACCATTCAGGATATAGGCATGGGCAAAGACTTCATGACTAAATTTCAAATAATTCTTAGCTGAATTCCTTAATTAAGGCAAGGACCTTTTGGCTTATTTGCTTGAACATTATACAATTTTTTCAAGTGTGATTATTTTTTTCTAAAGTTTTATCATCTTTTATCAACTTACAAATATTACTTCGAAAATGAAACTCTAATGTAAAGGTGAAATTGAGTATTTTAGTTCTCAACGAAAAGTTAAGCCATGGCAACTCCACAAAAATGAGATTGACACAGGAGAGGAAAAATGTTACCAAGTTTTTTAGAATAGTAACTGCATGCTATAGTTTGAGACACCTTTCAATTATACTATATTATTTAGGCTCCATGTCAGCTCTGTTACGCTATTTTGGCTTTGTTTCTGTATCGTGGGAAAGAAGATTTAATTTAAAAGTATTATAATAAAATGCAAGGCTTCTCCATTAACCAGAGTTAGTAAATAGCAGAAGACAGCTTTGGGGTCTTTTTGAATCTATGCCCTTTTGCGCTGCTTTCGAACTTCATGCTATTTCAAGTACTGTCCTACACATGCTATTATAAAATATAAACACAATATTATTAAATGTATTTTTAAAAGTGAAAAAAGTTAAGTAGTCTGCCTTTCCTAATGACTCACACTTTAGACAAATTGAAGTATTCATAGCGGTTTACACTCTTCGTAATCCTGCAGTTAGCTGAAAATAATTTCCAGGATCTAAATCCTTTTACCATTGTACAATGCTGGATTCCACATGAATATTCTAAGTAGCAAAGCTCTGTTGAATCACACTATTTGCATTTACTTTATTTATTTACCTATTTAAAAGGACCAAAAAAGCCAGTGGAGCCATAACCAAGGTATAGTAAACCCTCGGCTAAACCTGGGGTATAGAGAGAGGAACTCTTGGTATCAGTACATCCCACAGCACAGTGGAGAGTTGTGGAGGTACAACTGGTCTGTT
Source organism: Homo sapiens (assembly GCF_000001405.40). Classification (NCBI taxonomy): domain Eukaryota; kingdom Metazoa; phylum Chordata; class Mammalia; order Primates; family Hominidae; genus Homo; species Homo sapiens. The sequence goes on from NC_000008.11 coordinate 5,376,274, forward strand.
CCCCCTCTAGCGCTGTTATTATCAGCGCTTGGGAAAGCTCCTCTCTCCTGCCCCTCTTCCACTTCTTTCTGATAGTTGCTGTTTGAACACTTCTCATTGCCTTCTTCCGCATTCTATCACTGCCCTTGCTGCTGGGTCTACTCTGCCATGTTCCTCACATTCTGCTCCCTCTAACCTAGAGCATTATGACAGGCTGATCTCAATTACCACTGTTTTGTGAGTCAGTTCATCTTCTATCTGGGAAGGTCTTGACAAGTCCATTTTGAATGACTTACAACTAGACTCAGTATCTACTACCATAATTATTATTTTGCATTTTATTTTATGCAGTGCATAACGTGGATTTGCAAAGGTGCTCCTATTATCTAGACTGAAATGCAGTGTCTTAGCAAAATATTTGTCCTAGTTGTGAATTTTATCATATTACTTTATTAAGGTATTAAACTCAAATTATTTTCATATATGCATAATACACTCCCTATTTGGTAATCTTTATTATATTGATGTCTTGTTCACTTCTGTAGTCCTATTTAGATTATAAGATCCCTATACTGGAATTAAGTATCAGTTAACAAATGTTAGCGGCATTCAGATTCTGGGATAAGTCTTTACATTTGTTTCTATTTACTTAATAGCTTTGTAAGATTTGCAAACGCATATTTTTTCTAAGTTTTTATATTATTGTCAGTAAAATTAGTATAGTAGTATTTCTTATATACAGTTCTTTAAAATAATAAGATAAGGTGCAGGAAAAGGTTCAGCATATTGTAAGACTGAAATAATACTACCATTTATCAATATTAATGTGCATCTTCAGTAAATATATGTTAAACTACCACACAAGAGCATGTGTTACAATCATGAAGCAAAGAGATAGAGATACTGCAAGTAATACATAAAATTTTAAAATCGTACCTTAATAAAGTTACATGTTTCAAATATATGAAGCTCAAACACATTCAAGCACCCTGACAATAAATTATACTGTAAAAAAGGTTGAAAAAATGTAGAATCTTGTGTTTTGTTTGTATATCCATAAGGTATATTATGAGAACAGGTATATAAACAAAACAAGGTGATATTAGGTGAGAGGTCCCTCTGTCATTTTAAAGATAAGTTAATTCATTCCTGTAGAAGTAAAATGTTTCAGGTTATGAAATGCTATTTAAGGTGACTCAGCAATTTAATAACAGCATGTTCATTATAATCCGTGTCTCTTGATTCTGAAATTGAAGATATATTTTGGTTCCTACATTATAATTATCTTAATAGCAATAGGCTATATAAATATGCTTGGCTTTTAGCCAAAGAAGGCTCCTCAAGGACCAAAGGCTTGGATGGTTTTGTAAAGTCCTTTAAAAAGGCTACTAACTTCTGAAAACAAACAACAGGCAGTACATACTGCTGACTTATTTATCATGGGATGCCTTGTGACCTATCATCTTATTTAAAAGCTGGTTTATTTCCATCAATTATGTTTTGGTGTGATTCATTTTACCTTTGTATATTAATTTCTGCCCAAATAAATAAAAGGTATGTTACGTGACCCTCACAGAATAATAAATATTAAATTCACAAAACAAGCAAATTCTGGAAAGGTGTTCCAAAATCCTCAGCAAAGGCTCTGCATCACCAAGCAGACTGGGCCAAATCCTTTCCTTTTGTAATTTCTAATTTAATTACTGGCATTCATAATTTATACACTCAAACCATTTACAAGCACTTTTTCTTATAGTTTTATAGCCTCTAACAGAGCTGATTCTAGTGAGTATGACAGTCTCACTTCTTTGTGGGAGGATTAACTGGACAGCCTGATGAAATATGCCCAGGCACCACAGAATTCAGAGAATTATAGTGGTGCTAACAGCCCATCTATTGTGAAGGCTGTGATGGTGTTTTCATGATAAGCTCTGATTAGCAGGGCTGCACATTTTAACGATTCTAAATTGCACTGGCTGAACTGTGGCATAGTGGAAGCAAATCTTTCTATATAGGAGTTGAAGTGCTGCAAAGATTGCTCTGAGATTTCGAGCTTGGAAACACAGTTAGTGAATTATTGTTTCAATACTACAGCAACAGCTATCTGTACTATCTGAACTGGTGAGAGGCACTCTGTGTTTCCTCACATAGGACGCTGCCTTCTGGGACAGACTATTTTGAGTAGCACTCAAAGGCTTCAGACAAATGGACTGAGCTACCATGGCTGCCCCAGGCCCACAAAATGTTGAAGAAGAAATGTGGCCGAGAGTGGTAGCTCATGCCTGTAAACTCAGAACTTTAGGAGGCCAAGGCGAGCAAATCACTTGAGGTCAGGAGTTCGAAACCAGTCTGTCCACCATGGTGAAACTCTGCCTCTATGGAAAAATACAAAAATTAGCTGGGCATGGTGGTGCTTGCCTATAGTCCCAGCTACTTGGGAGGCTGAGGTGGGAGGATGGCTTTAACATGGCAGGTGGAGGCTGCAGTGAGCTGAGATTGTGCCACTGCACTCCAGCCTGGGAGACAGAGGGAAACCCTGTCTCAAAGGAAGAAGAAGAAGAAGGAGAAGGAGAAGGAAAAGGAGAAGGAGAAGACGGAGGAGGAGGAGGAGAAAAAGAAGAAGAAGAAGAAGAAGAAGAAGAAGATTGATTTTTCAATTAATGTATCATCAGAACAAATATTTTAGTAACAATCTATCATAAAGACAGACATTTTCTAAGGAGATTACAATTGTCATTTATTTGAATCAGGAAATACTTCCTCTGAGGACAAAGCATCTACCAATAGGTTCAATGCCTCCACCCATGTTTTGTGAAGAAGTATCTTGTTAAATACTGTCCTAACAAGCAGTGATTAAAGAATTATGAGGATTACAAGCATCACATTGCATTAGCGTTTAAAGGCTGATTATCTCTGTTTCTCATAAGGAGCTCTGAGCTGATTAAATTATTTTCATTCACTAGTTAGCCCCTGAAAGGAGGGCTGAAGGGCAAGAGGCATTTCTCCCCCAAAACTGTCTAAATTAAATATGACTAAATCATTGTAAAACAGTATGCAAGGACAATGGCGGAGGAAACAAGGAAATCCAGCTCATGGTAGGCTATAAGGAAATTTCAATCTTAAGATCAAAAAGTAAAGAGCTAGCCAGTGTGGAAATGTCAAGCGGAAGTTAGAGAGTTATTGATATAGTGCCATATCCTATCCGGACTTGATTTTCTATGTACATGGACAGACATTGAATTTTTATATTTTGGCTTCAGGTGCTCATGGCAGGTGATGAAAGCAATGATCTGTGGCTATACAAGCTTGCCAAGTGTTCTTGCATCTCAATAGCGTAGGTACCATCTTGTACTCTACCAGGTCCTGTCCAGTGCACACCTCTCCTGTCGGCAAGTGTGAGTTGGAGGACAGGATGGGATGGGGGATGAGTTATCCCATAAGTGTGGCTTCTCTACTTTTTTTCTCAGTAGCACCGATGGCCTAAAAAATATCCAAATCCCTCTTCCAACCTCTGAAGACTCATCTGGATCTTACCTGCCTCACGGTCTGTCTCTCATCCTTTGCCATGACTCCCTTTCTGAGGTAAAGCTCTGGAAATGCTGTCCACATTTATTCACCATTCCTTTACCTACTACACCTCAACTCCACAGAATCTAAACTTTGCCTCCACCATCGTGTAGAAGCTGCTTTTCCTAAAATCAACAGTGCCACCCATGTGGCAACCCATCATAAACTTGTTGTTGTGGACAGAATGTTTTTGTCCCCCACCCATTAAATTTATATGTTGAAGCCCTGGCCCTCAGTGTGGCTGTATTTGGAGATGGGGACCTCTAAGAAATAAGTAAGCTTAAAAGGAGTCATACGGGTGGGCCCTGATCCTATGAGATGAATGTCCTTTGAAGGAGTGACACCAGAGAGCTAGGGTATGCTCGCTTGCGCTCTCTCTCTCTCCTTTCCCCCTGTACACTTACCAAGGAAAGGCCATATGAGGACATAGCAATAAGACAGCCATCTGCAAACCAGGAAGAGAGCTCTCAGAGAACCCAACCATGCCGGTGCCTTGATCTTGGCCTGTCAATCTCAAGAACTATGAGAAAATATGTTTCTGTTGTTTAAGCCACCCAGCCTATAGCGTTTTGTGATAGCAGGCTTCTCCAACCAATACACATATAGAGGGGCACACATACCAGAGTGACCTATTCAACTTTGCCTTTTAAAAAGTACCTGTTGATGGCAGGCATGGTGGCTCACACCTGTAATCCCAGCACTTTGGGAGGCCGAGGTGGGTGGATCACCAGGTCAGGAGTTCGAGATCACCCTGGCTAATATTGTGAAAGGCCGTCTCTACCAAAAATACCAAAAAAAAAAAAAAAAAAAAAAATTAGCTGGGCCTGGTTGCATGCACCTGTAATCCCAGTTCCTCGGGAAGCTCAGGCAGGAGAATCGCTTGAACCCGGGAGGCAGAGGTTGCCGTGAGCCAAGAACTTGCCGCTGCACTCCAGCCTGGGTGACAGAGTGAGACTCTGTCTCAAAAAAAATAAAAATAAAAAATAAAGTACGTGTTGATGTGGTAGAAAGTGAGGTCAGATGATATTAGGGTTTTGTATCAGCTCCATCAGGATGACTGAAATTGTTATGGAAAGTTGTTAGTCAAGAAATGATGATGTCCTCAACTAGAACAGTGAAGGTTGGAATGAACACATGGCTGTGGCTGTGGGAGACGCAGGGGAGAAAAAGCCAACAGGATGTGACTGCGTGGTGCCAGTTAGAAAGAAGATGGAGTCCAGATTGTAAGATTTCCAGACTGAATAGTTGGGCAGATGGTAATGGTGTTTACTGACATATTGCATAATGGAAGATAAGTTGATTTATAGGGATAATGTATTAGGCACGTAGAATTTCATCACTGAAATCGTAATATCCAGTAAGTTGTTGGAGATGTGGGATTGAAGATCATAAGAGAGGGCTGAAGTGAAACTATATCTCGGAGATGGTATCCATTCACTCATTTAACAATATTTAGTGAGTACCTACTTACTATACCAGGCACGATTGCAGGTTCTAGGGATATATACATTAATGTGTGTAAGGAAGATAAAATTAAGTGACTTTTGTCGATTTTACATTTGACTTGGCGAAATAAACAGTGAACATATTAAATAAATAAATTTTATAGGATGCTAGAAGGTGAAATACACTTTATGGAACAGAAAGCGTTGGTGTAAGGGAGACAGGGAGTACCTGATTGGGGTGATGTCGTTTTAAGCACATAGACACAGAAATGCAAATTGTAGCCAAGAAAACTTACAAACTGACATCTTTTTGGCATACTGTACAGAAGAGGAGCTGGTGGGGACACTCATGATGATTATTATGGAGAAAGAGGGGATTATAAGGGTATGATCGCCAAAGAAAATGTTTTCAACTATATAAAAGCTGAAAGTATGGCAGATAAACTAAGAATTAAAAAAAAGAATAAAAGTCTTTCCAAACTGTTTAAAGATACGATCCAATTTTCTTAATGTGCAAGCTCTTAATTAGTGAGATGGAGGTGTGGGATTCCTCTCTGTCCTCACCCCATGCAGCTCTCTTCCCTGCTCACTCCACCCCAGGTAAAGCATACTTCTTGTCATACTTTAAGCACACTGTTTACTATGTTCACAGCCGCAGAGCCTAGGCATTGATATTCACTTTGCCTGCAATGTCACTCAGTCATCATCTGACCAGCTGACAGGCTCACCTCATCTGTTAGTTTAAAACACAGGTCCTTGGAGGAGGCTTCCCTGACAACTTCCCTGGGCAACTTTAGTTCCCATGATCAGTGCCTTCATGAGAGCTTAAATGCCACCTCCACAGCTCTCATCATGCTTGTATGATTTTTAGTGTCTATCTTTCCTTTTGTACCATCATTCTTTTTAGAATGATGTCAGAGTAGTAAGCCATTTCATTTGGTTCAATCTACTTAATTATTTACTCATTTTCCTTCTTGAGATTACAGACCCTGGTCCGTTCACACTTAATATTTTTAGTGCATTTTTTCCTATGAAATGGATACTGGATTTGCTCGGCCCTATTGTATGGTTTCTGGCTGAACTGTTCAGGCATGATCGGAAAGGAAAAGAAAGTAGAAGACAGGGATAGAGAGGAGAGGGGAGGGCAGAGAAAGAGAAAAGAGGCGAAGGGAAGCAAGGAGAGAGCTATAAACATGGGAAAGAAAAGAGAAGTATAGGGACAGAAAGAAAACACAGAACCAGGGGAGCTAAAAACACAATTTAACAGTTAAAACAATTCATGTACAATGTTCCTACATTCCTATGTTTTAAAAATATAGATTAAGCGATACATTTTATAAACTCCACATTTCATTTATTTATAACATTTTCTTAAAGTGGAAGAATCAAGTAAAGAACAATCACAAAACACTATTTGATGAAAGCTGAGAGATTTATATTTTTCTGTATGTATCCATTTTACACCAGGACAAGTAAGGGCCCCTCCTCTTATTTGTGGAATTTGAATTTGTGCTAATGTACGCCAACAACAGGAGAGAAAATCAAGTATCCATTTCCTTTGTCAAAATCATTTCACTCATGGTAGGGATTAGTAAGACTGAGAAAATAAGTGGAATATTTTCATTCTTGGAAACTTACAAAGGTAGATGGAATCAAATACGCTTCCTTCTCTTTCATGCCGCCAAATGTGGGCATGAACTGTTATCTTTCTCTAAACTCATTCCCCCATCTAAGGCATTCTAAGTTCTTGGGACCAACAGATCACCTTTGATGTGGCATCATTTCTTATCCTTCAAGGAAAAATTAGAAAATCCCTCATCCACAGTCCCACTGAAGTCACGCCTAACTACTCTCTCGGGAAACTGAGGGTCAACATATCAGTATCTGCTCCCTTCATTAGGTGTCTTGAAGGCAAGCAGGACGTGATCCTTTTTGTCTTCTAAGAAGCTAGTTCAGTGATTGGCCCATGGTATCCTGAACTCCCCAAACATATATTCACACACATGCTTATGCATTTAAATGCATGCTGAGAAATCAAGGGATTATTTCATAACATTTAAGGTGTGTGCCTGAACACTAAAACTCAAAGCCAGAGAAACTGATTTCGTGTTTTACAGTGGGAAAGGAGACGACAAGGTTGCGAAGTTAGAAAGAAACTCTGTTTTCAGCCTTACTACGAAATAATGGACAAATAAAAAGTGTATATATTTAAGGTGTAAAACATGTTGTTTTGGTATACATATACCTTGTGAAATTATTATGACAATAAAGCTAACTAACATGTCCACCACCTCACAGAGTTACCATTTTTTATGCATGGTGAGAACAGTTAAGATCCACTTTCTTAGTACTTTCATTTATACAATAAAGTATTACTAACTGTAGTCCCTACACTGTACATGAGATCCTCAGAATATATTTAGCTTATAACTGAAGCATTTTATACTCTCTGACCAACATTTTCCCACTCTTTCCATCACCCCACTTCCCCAGCCTCCGGCAATGAGCATTCTATTCTCTGTTTCTATAAGTTCAACATTTTTGTTGCTGTTGAGATAGGGTCTCACTCTGTCTCCCAGGAAGCAGTGCAGTGGCGCAATCACAGCTCACCATAGCCCTCACCTGCAGTGGCAAAATCACGGCTCACCATAGCCCTCACCTGCAGTGGCAAAATCACGGCTCACCATAGCCCTCACCTGCAGTGGCAAAATCACGGCTCACCGTAGCCCTCACATGCAGTGGCACAATCACGGCTCACCGCAGCCCTCACCTACAGTGGCACAACCAGGGCTAACAGTAGCCCTCACCTGCAGTGGCACAATCACGGCTCACCGTAGCCCTCACCTGCAGGCGCACAACCAGGGCTCACTGTAACCCTCACCTGCAGTGGCACAACCAGGGCTCACGGTAGCCCTTACCTGCAGTGGCACAATCACGGCTCACCATAGCCCTCACCTGCAGGTGCACAACCGGGGCTCACCGTAGCCCTCACCTGCAGTGGCACAATCACGGCTCACCGTAGCCCTCACATGCAGGGGCACAACCAGGGCTCACCGTAGCCCTCACCTGCAGTGGCACAATCACGGCTCACCGTAGCCCTCACATGCAGGGGCACAACCAGGGCTCACCGTAGCCCTCACCTGCAGTGGCACAACCATGGCTCACCGTAGCCGTCACCTGCAGTGGCACAAACACGGCTCACTGTAGCCCTCACATGCAGGGGCACAACCAGGGCTCACCGTAGCCCTCACCTGCAGTGGCACAAACAAGGCTCACCGTAGCCCTCACCTCCCTGGGCTCAGGTGATCCTTTTACCTCAGCCTTCCAAGTAGCTGGAACTATAGGCAAGTGCCCTCATGCCCAGCTAATTTTTTAATTTTTAATTTTTATTGTATAGAAACGGCTTTTTATCACGTTCCCCAGACTAGTCTCAAATTCCTGGAGTCTGATGTTTCTAGATTCCACCTAGGAGATCTTCCTGTGTCTGGTTTATTCCACTCAGCATGATGGGCTTCAGGTTACTGCATGCTATTCCAAATGGCAAGATTTTCTTCTTTTTGAGGCTGAAGAGTATTACAGAGTGTGTATCATATTTTCTTTATCCGTTCGTCTGTTGACAGGAACTTAGGTGGTTTCCATATTTTGGCTTTTACGAATACTGCTACAGAAAACCTGAGAGTGCAGGTATCTCTTTGAGGTGCTAATTTCATCTGCGTTGGATGTAGACCCAGGCCTGGGACTGCTGGGTCATATGGTAGTGCTATTCTAATGTTTTGAGGAACCTCCATAATGGTGGTCTCAGTTTACTTTCCCATCAATGAGGTTCCATTTTCTCTACATCCTCACTTGTTATCTTTTGACTTTGGGATAATAGAGCCATTTTAACAGGGGTGAGGTAGTATTTTATTCTGGTTTTGCAGGACTGAAAGAAATGTGTTATTAACAGCCAGTCCTCACACCCTCCTCTCCTGGTTCTATCACCGATTCTATCACTGATACATTTCTTGGCAAGTTTTCATACTCTTCAGATTTTAGTGACAATTAGCCACAATGTTCTTTTCATAGTTTACTTCCCTCCTCCTCCAGCACTCACACACTCAGAGAATGGCTTATTTCTTAAGCAATGATTTCCTACTTCCTTCCTCTACTACACTTCCTAATTACCTGTAAGCTTTGGTGACATGACCAAGGCCTGTTGGGTGTTTTGTGGTACCTTGGACGCGTGTGGTCAAGAACCACAAGCAGTGGGCCTTTCTAAGACTTTGCAATCCCCCAAGTGGAGAGTTTCCTCTAACAAACAAGCTATACGAACGCTCTCAAAATAATGCTATTACATAATTAAGCAATAATACGTATTTTTAATCATTTACAACACTGAGTTTCAGCTCAGGCATCACCTTTGTTTCAACATTAGCAACTGTAAGTGCTGCCATCCCACTGCCTATAGCCACCGTGCACACTCACCCCCAATTCACATAGCAAAGGAAGGGTGTGTATTTTGGAAGCATTCTTTACATTCTTCTTTTTGTAAATAAATTTTGTTGTGTATATTTAGGGGTATGCAACATAATATTATGAAATAGCTATGGATAGTAAACAGGTTACTATAGTAAAGCAAATTAACATATCCGTAACCCCACATGATCACCCACCTTTTTTTTTTTGTTTGTTTCTGTGGCAAAGGCAGCTAAAATATGCTCATTTACTATAAATCCCATATGCAGCACAGTTTGATTACCTGTATTCTTCACGTTCTTCTTTAGCTTTACATATGTAGTTTAAACGTGCATTTGGGAAACTGATGTGACTCCTAGAACACCACAGGGCTATTCTTCTATAAGTGGTTGGAATTTTGGGAGACTCAGAATGCTTCCTTCTTACAGGGGAGGCTGCCCGGCAAGCAGATCTCGGCCTGGGCCAGAACTTCAGAGAGCAGTCTCTTCAGAATGCACGGTGGCTGGGAGCAGGCCTATGTATTAAAAAAATTATTTCCATAGGTTTTGGGAGAACAGGTGGTATTTGGTTACATGAGCAAGTTCTTTAGAGGTGATTTGTGAGATTTTGGTGCACCCGTGACCCGAGTGGTATACAATGAACTTGCAGTCTTCTATCCTTCACCCCTCCCACCCTTTCCCACGAGCACCTGAAGTCTATTGTATCATTCTTACACCTTTGCATCCACGTAGCTTAGCTCCCACGTACGAGTAAGTAGAAAAATAGTCTCCAGTTCCATTCAGGATGCTGTAAATGGTATATATATATATATAGATACATACATGTGTGTCTGTGTGTGTACATATATACACACACACACATCATATATATATATATGATGAAATACTATGCAGCCATAAAAAGGGGTGGGCCTCTCTACAGTGGCTATATGACTTCTCTGTAGCTGTGGACACATAGAAACCTTTCCCTACCAACTGCTATTTGAAAGAGCAGGAGAGGAGACTGTAATTTCTTCTACTGTCCTAAAATGCTGCCTCAAAGGCACACTATAATATTGTAATAAGAATCTACTTAGGTTAAAAAGGCAAGAAAAAAAAGAGCACTCTGGAACATCTCTCAAATTAACCCTGGGTGTGCTCCAACCCAGTGTTTCATGCCTTTGAAACTGAACACGACTCTCCTGCAACGATATTGAAACCTAGGAACCACCCAGGCAACACGTGGGCTCTCTGCCATCACTCCAGGATGGGCAAACCTAGCATTCCGTTTCAATCAGAACACGTTGGTGACATGGAAAATGTCAGGTACAAAACAGAACCCAGGGAAAGATAATTCAACAAGAAAATACACACCTGAGAGCCTGGGATGGACTCCTTTTGTTCCTTGATCTGGGTCTTCTTGGGCCCACTCAGTCTTAGGACCTACCTAGGAGGGCTGTGGAATGCTGCTTTTCTCCCTGTAAATATGCATAATACAAACTTCCCAGTCCCCACTCTATGACAGTTACATCCACACCCCCGTAATTTCAGTGCTTCATCCTTTCAGTCTAAATATTTGGTTTCACATAAAACGAAAATCTTTCTGATTAAGGAAAATATTTGGGGCAATTATCAATCACAAATGAATGCAGACGATAATAGTTAATACATAGCACTTTTATACTAATTATTTCAATTAACCCTTGCAAAAAAATTAACAAGGCGATGCTAGTATATTTACTTTATAGAAAACTATCAGAGACATTGTAACTCTCCAAAGTCACATGGCCACTTGTGGTAGAGACAGGATGAGAATCTGCCCAGATAATCTAACTCCAATCCTATTCTCTCTCTCTCTCTCGTTTTTTTCTTTTTTTGAGACGGAGTATCACTCTGTCGTCCAGGCTGGAGTACAGGGACATGATCTCTGCTCACTGCAACCTCTGTCTCCTTGGTTTAAGCAACTCTCCTGCCTCAGCCTCCTGAGTAGCTGGGACTACAGGCACGCACCACAGCACCTGGATAATTTTTTCTTTCTTTCTTTCTTTCTTTTTTTTTTTTTTTTGTATCTTTAGTGGAGATAGGTTTTCACCATGTTTTCCAGGCTGGTCTCGAACTCTTGACCTCATGATTCACAAACCCCTCGGCCTCCCAAACTGTTGGGATTACAGGCGTGAGCCAATGCGCTTGGCCCCCATTCTCTTTTGGGTATAGGATGTGCCTCCCAGTTAAGTCTCAGAATGGTTCCAGGAAGGGTCTTGATTAGAAGAAGGAATTATGATGTGCCTGGGGAGTCAGTAAAGAAAGAGAAGTAAAAGGAAAAGTTGAAAATTAATTCCATAGCTAGCTTTGATGCTTTACTTATAGTAAGTAAAGAAAAGAAATCACTGCTGTTCACAATGACAACACAACCTCAATAAAAAGGCTGAGCGGAATCTACCTAAAAGTATTTTTAAAGTTATATTTGGGAGTAAGTTGTGTGATACACGGCATTGCAAAATGCTTTTTTACTTTGAAATCAATCTTTCTGTGCAGCAGATACTTGATAGCAGGTATGTAAACATGAAGCAGCCATGAGCAGCCCAAACCAGCCAAGTGGTCAGATGGCACTTTGCAGCGCCCATCAGACCCATTCTGCTTGAATGTACAGGGAACCGCGGAACACACTCCAGCTGACAGTGACAGCCACGTGCTGGGCTTCAGGAACATGTGAATATTGACACATTTTTAGAAACTTTGCTTCCATGCGTTTTATTCTTGTGACAGTGCATAAGCTGTGTCTCTTGTGGTTATGGAATTAGATCTTTCCATTTGCATTGCACATACGAAAATTAAAATCTTTGGAACAATTATTCTATACAACTTTGATTGTTAATTCTCACTGCTTGTGACATAGAATGCCCTCATCTAAGAATCAGAAAATTAAGCTGCTCAAGGGGCTCTTTTAATGCTATTGGAAATATATTTCAAACAGGACTTAGCCAAGCACAGGAAACACTCACGGTGTGTTAGCTTTAGAGGATAATGGGATCAAGTTGAAGGAAAATTATGGCAACAGGCGAGAGTAGGTCAAGTTCATGTTTAAAACATTAAAATCTATGATTCGAAACCTTGCTAACTTTCTAATTAAAATTCTTCAATAAATGATATTTTTAATGTGAATTTCTAAAGATTCCAAATAGATCAGTTTAAAATCAACTTATGGTGATTTTCAGAAAATGGTGATCAAAGACAGCAGAAGAATGAGGACATCAGCGAACTGGACTGTCTTGAAGAGCACACTTGGCGTGAGGCATTTTATAGGTTCATTTTCACAGTCCTATAAATAATTGCCTGAGACTGGGCAATTTATGAAGAAAAGAGATTTAATTGACTCACAGTTCCACATGGCTGGGGAGGCCTCAGGAAAGTCCTAATCATGGCAGAAGGTGAAGGAGAAGCAAGGCACATCTTACATGGTGATAGGAGGAGAGAGAGTTAGGAAATGTCACACTTGAAAACTATCGGCTCTCATGAGAACTCACTCACTATCATGAGAACGGCATGGGGGAAAATGTCTCCATGAGCCTATCACCTCCCACCAGCTCCCTCCTCAACACGTGAGGATTACAACTCCAGATGAGATTTGGGTGGGGACACAGAGCCAACCCATAGTAGGCATCATGTCCAAAAGTCAGTCTAATAAATTGTGGCCATAAATCTCTCCCCAACTCTGTGGCTCTGTGAATGAAGGAGGTGGCTCTTTGGATGGAACCAAGGCTGCAGTTGAAGCAGAGGCAAAGAAGGGTTGAGATTTCATGAAAGGAAATGGTGGATAATGATACATTGTGGCACTTAATCTGACTAAAGAGACAATGAGGACAAGAAAGTAGAGATAAGGAGGGACAGTGAAAAATTGGTAGCAACAGTGAATTACAGGTTCAGGAGATAAAGAACAGTGTCCAGACTCAGGTGCATGAAGCTGGAACAGCAGGACATTTACAATGAAGTTTCAAAGAAGCTGAAGTTTCTACTCTCGAAAGGTCTGTGCTGAGATCATGGGACAGAATGGCTGAAGCCCCATGGGAAGAAACAGCACTGGCAGAAAGGAGGTTAAGGCTAGGATTTTAGAGAGAGCATGTTATGGACATTAAAATTTCACAAGGTCACTATAGAAGTATTAATAGAGAACACAGAACTAGGATTGAAAATTTCAAAGAATAAGGGCGAATGGGTTGCACAAGATTTGAACAAATATAACAAGGGACAGAAATCAAAATGTCAAAGGAGCTTTCCTGCCCTGCATTACTGCTGGTTTTTGGCAGAGATCTAGCAATCTACCACTATTCAACTCCCTGATGGCTTTCTTAAACCAAGTTCTTGGGCCGGGTGCAGTGGCTCACACCTGTAATCCCAGCACTTTGGAAGCCCAGGATGGGTGGATCACTTATGGTCGGGAGTTCAAGACCAGCCTGGCCAACATGGTGAAATCCCATCTCCACTACAAAATACAGAAATTAGCTGGGCCTGGTCGTGGGTACCTGTAATCCCAGCTACTCAGGTGCCAGAGGCAGGAGAATTGCTTGAACCTGGGAGGCAGACATTGCGGTGAATTGAGATCATGCCACTGCACTCCAGCCTGGGTAACAGAGTGAGACTCCTGAGACTCCATGTCAACAACAACAACAACAAAACAAGAAAGAAACTGAGTTCCTGAGAAAAAGCAGAGTCTGAGGCAAATAGGTGTTAATTGCTGATACCATAATTTGGAAATGCAATCCTGGGATGCTCTTAATGAGAGATAGAAAAATGAGGCAGGAAAGGTCAGAATGCAATTGAAGTTGCGCTGTTACCTGCTGGCCACACTTCACAGGGATGTAGAGAGACACAGCTTGTCACTCAGCAGGTGTTTGTGCTTGCCCCTCCACCCCCGCTGATGTCTCTAAATAAACTGCACAGACAGAGTGCATCTTGGGGCAGGCCTTGGGGAAGGAAGGAAAGGAAAATTGTCTGCTAGACTTCCCCTGTTTTACACTTTCCAAAATTCAGAGTTTTTATGCATTTCCAGATGACATCATCTAGCTGCATGGCACTGCATCGGAAGCCATATTTTGTGTCTTGATGTGTGCTGCTTCTCCGAAGGCCAAAAACGGCCAAAAGAGTCAAACAATCAGAACACATAGCAGCATCCCTGGAAAGAGGCCCTGGGCTCCAGGAGAAGCAGTTATCCTGAGGCCTGAATGGCTCGGAGGACAGAACTATGTGAATATTCATGGGAGTGATCTGTAAATAGTAACATGCTGCATAAATCCCAGGTACTATTTTTAGAAATTCCCTCTGATGATATGTATTTCCTTCACATTAAGACTGCCATTTAGAATCTGCAGGGAGCGTTGTTGAAAAAATGCGTGTAGTCACATACCCTTCTATTACACAATGAGTCCTAATGGAAGTAAGTCAAAAAGGAAAACGATGAAAAAAAATGGGAAATAAGCTATTCGGGGTGTGGGGTTGGGAAATGTTGGTAAAATGATTAAAAATTTCAGTTAAACAAGAGGACTAAGTCCTATAGACCTTATGTTCAAAGTGGTGACTATAGTTAATAACAATATATTGTATACTTAATAATTGCTTAAAAAGATTTTGCTTTCTCACCACAAATATGTGAGGTAATACATATGCTAATTAGCTTGATTTAGCTATTCCACAATGTATACATATTTCAAAACATCATGTTGTATACCATAGATATACACAATTTTTATTTATTGATTTAAAAAGTTAAAAACAAGCTATTCTGAACTCTGGTTTCAGCTCTGGTATATAAAAAACTTAGAAGTTATCACTCCCCTCCTTACAACAAGAAAAAATGAAACAAACTGTTAATTAGCAACTATTCTTTGATGCATCAGTGGGATGTGGATGTGGGGAAATCTTGCACCACCAAGTATTGGGCAGGCAAATCCAGAGACTCCAGCAGATGCCTACTTAACTGGAGCAGAAGCGTCTGGAGCCATAAACTGGTACGAAGTGTAAAATGGTAATTTTGATGAATTTCTCAAGGGCATGTGGACTATCATGAGAAAGAAAAACTTGCAGAGGCAGAAGGCTGCAGTCTTAAAATTCACTCATTTATGGGTGTTATCTCCAGAAGCCCCATTGTGTTCTCATGGTGAAGATGTCATGGAGAAATAAACCCTCCTGATTCTGGCAGGACGCGTGGAAACGAAAAACCATGTGAAATTCACCCAGAGCATTCTCCATAAACAGTGCCCCCTCACAGCTGAAAGGACTTCGGTAGAGCCTAAACCAGCCAAAGGAAGGGCATTGCTCTCATTCCAGTTCTTCTTTGACTTCATGTCTCAATAAACGAATTTTTAAAAAATATCTATGTAACTAGAGAAATGTTCTTAAAGTTGATGACCTTAAAACATAGGTCCACTAAGGTACAATCATAAGACCATAAAAAGTTTCCCCACCCCCACACCTTACCTCCACACCAACAGACATCCAGTACGACAACAGTGGGTTACAGATAGAAAAAGGTACAAAACACGAACTCTGTTTGAGAAGGAGTCCTTAGGGAATCCTAGAATTAATGAGGACAAGAACCAGGATACAAGAAAACTTTGAAAACTTTGGCAAGTACAACAGTGGCAAAACTTAAATGTGGCCCATCTTTTTTAAACTGAAGACCTATTTACCTCAGTTCCTATAACTGTACACATTATGTCTGGTTTTCAACAACAACAAAAAATTATAAACCATGCTAAAAGATAGAAAAAGAATGCAAGTTGAAGAGACAAAGAAAGTATGAGAAACAGAATCATATATGAGAGAGATTTTGAAATTATCAGTTTGTGAATGTAAAATAATCATGATTAATATTCTAAGGGCGCTAATGGAGAAAGTGAACGATATGGAAAACAAAATAAAACATTGCAAGCAGTGTAAGAAGAGAGATGGACATTCTAAAAATTAGCAAAAAGGACATGCAGGAAATTCATAACACTATAACAGGAATGAAGAATGTCTGTTTTTAATGAGCTCATCTGAAGTGCAGGCACAGCTTAAGTGAGAATCACTAACCTCAAAGATAGGTCAAGAGAAACCCTACACACTTAAACATAAAGAGTGAGAATATTTAACAGAAAAAAATCTATTAAAAATTGAGCACCCAAGAAAAGTGGGACAATTTCAAAGGCATAATACACCATGTGATTAATTGGAATAAGAGAAGTAGAAGAAAGACAAAAAGGAGCACAAAAATATCTGATGTTACATTGTAAATAACCTCCCTAAATTAATGACTAACACTAAATGACAAATACAGGAAGCAGGCATATCATATTCAAAATGCAGGAAATTAAAGACAAAGAAAAAAATCTTGAAAACACACAAAAAACATAATCTCTAAAAGAAGAATGAGAACTACAGAGAACTTATCAAAACACACAAAAGGAAGAGAGTGCAGTAAAATATTTGAAACATTGAAGATAAAAAACAGTTTATATTCGGTAAAATTATTACTCAAAAACACAAGAAAAAATAAAGACTTTCTCATCTCACCAAAAACTTAGGCAATTCATAATAGATCTTACCAGCAGGAAATGTTAAAAATTCTTTAGGGAGAAGGAAGAAAACATAGGTGAGAAATTCAAATCCACATAAATAAAGGAAGTGAATAAAGAAGGAATCAGAAAAGGTATAGTTTTTTTTCCTTATTTATAATTGTTTTGAAAGATAATTTAAAAATAATAATATTAAAAACATATTGAGTAATATAGCATGTAGATAAGTGAAATGAATGAAAGCAATGGAATAAGAAACTAGAGGAAGGAATTGGAAGTATTCTGATATAAGGCATATGCTCCATCTATGAAGCAATATAGTGTTACTTGAAGGAGAATTTTAATTAGTTATAAACAAATATTGAAAAACCAATAAAATACATTTTTTAAAGTTAATTGATATGCTAAGAGAAGAGATAAATGGAATCATGTCAGATTTTGAATTAAACTCAGACGAGGCAGAAAATAAAAGAACAAGAACAACAAATACAATGGATTGAAAACAGTTAAAAACATGGTAGGTATTCATCCAAATATACAAAAACCACTTTAAATATGAAGGATTTAAATACAGCAAGCAAAAAACAAAGACGGCTCAGAGTGATTTAATAAAAGCAAAAACAAAACTAAGCCCCCAAAAATGTTGTCACAAAAAACTCACTTAAATATAAAGACTCAATAAGCGAATAGTAAAAATTAGGTGAATTATAAAATTATACTGCTTACTAACTTTAATGGAAAGTATCCTGGATTATCAATTTTACAGAAATGGACATCTGGGATTATGGGGAGTATTACATATGATAAATGGGATCAATTATCCAGAACGACATAACAATCCTAAACATATATGCACTTAACTACTGAGCATCTGATAGGTGATGCAAAAACCTTACAGAACTAAAGTGACCAGTAGAAACTTTTATAATAGGACACTTCAACAGCCTTCTTTTTGGAATTAATACATGCAACAGAAAAAATTCTCAGTGAGAATGTAGATGACCTGAAGAGCACAATCTTTTAACTTGATCAGGTTTCCTCAGATTAATAGAACATTCTCCAAGTTAGACAAAATCATGGGCTATAAAACACTTTTTAACTAAATACAAGAATAGAAATCTAAGTATATTCTCAGATCGCAATAGAAATAATTTAGAAAACAATAGAAGAAAGAGAAATGGAAAATTGTAAAATCTTTGGTGATTCAAAAACATGTTTCTAAATAACACACGCGTCAAAGAAGTCCTAATAGTAATTAAAAATATTTGTTCAAAATTAACATAAAAACACAATTCATCAAAATATATGAGATGTATTAAAAACAGCATGTAGAAGAAAATTTATAGCGCTAAATGTACATATTAGAAAATTTCAAAATCTAAAATCAATCACCGAAGCTTCCATTTTTAAAAATTGGGAAAGAAAAATGATTTATGCTTAATGGAAACAAAGGAAATTAATAAAAAATTAAAGCAGAAATTAATTGAACTGGAGACAGAAAAAAACCGGAATATCAGCAAAGTTTTCTTTGAAAGAAATTAGTAAAGTTGATAAACTTTTAGCCAAAGTAACCAACAGAAAGAAAAGCCCCAAATTAGCAATATCAAAAATAGAAGTGGGATTTTTCTATGATCTCTACTGATCCTGTGTGCATTGTGAAGGTAATAAAGAGTATTATAAACAAGTTCATAACTCACAATTCGATCTTTTAAGTGAGGTGGATCATTCATTGAAAGACATATAATACCATCGCTTAACAAGGAAAAATGAATTAGCTGAGTCAACCTATAAATATCAAATAAATCTAACTGGTATTTTCAGTATTTTAACAAAGAAAACATGAGGCCCAGAGAGTCTCATTTGTGAATCTTACCAAACATTTAAGAAAAAAAGAATACTAATTATCCACAATATCTTTCAAAAATCAGAAGCAAAAAGTTTACTTTTTTTTTTTTTTTTTGAGATGAGTGTCACTCTGTTGCCCATGCTGGAGTGCAGTGGCATGATCTCGGCTCACTGTAAAGCTCTGCCTCCCTGTTTCAAGCAATTCCCCTCTCCTGTCTCAGCTGCCTGAGGGGCTGGGACTACACGCATGCACCATCATGCCAAGCTAATTTTTGTATTTTTAGTAGAGATGGGGTTTCACCATGTTGGCCAGGCTGGCCTCGAACTCCTGACCTCAAGTGATCCACTCGTCTTGGCCTCCCAAAGTGCTGGGATTACAGGCATAAGCCACTGTGCCCAGCCTAGAAAGATCACATTTTAATTCATTTTCTGAAACTCAATTTATTTTATTTATTTATTTATTTATTTACTTACTTACTTATTTATTTTTTGAGATGGAGTCTTGCTCTGTCCCCCAGGCTGGAGTGCAGTGGTACAATCTCGGCTCAGTGCAAGCTCCGCCTCCTGAGTTCACGCCGTTCTCCTGCCTCAGTGTCCCAAGTAACTCGGATTACAGGCGCCCGCCACCATGCCCGGCTAACTTTTTGTATTTTAGTAGAGACGGGGTTTCACCATGTTAGTCAGGATGGTCTCGATCTCCTGATCTCGTGATCCACCCGCCTCGGCCTCCCAGTGTGCTGGGATTACAGGCGTGAGCCACCGCAGCCAGCCCTGAAACTCAATGTATACTCACATAAAACTAAATTCTGACACAGGTGAATAGACCAATATCTCTCATAAATGTAGATGTAACGTTTTCAAAAAAATAGCAAATTAAGTCAAAAAATGTATTAAAAGAATTATACAGCATGGTCAGATATCCAGTGTTGGTTCATTGTTTTAGATTTTTCAGGCTGCCATAAGACAATGCTATGAAGTTGGTGGCACATAAACAACAAGGCTTTATTTTCCACCGTTCTGGAGGCTGGGAAGTTCAAGGTCATGAGATCAGCAGGTTCAATGTTTGGTGAAGACTCGTTTCCTGGTTGACAGGCAGCCACCTTGTTGCGGCATTCTCACATGGAGGAAGGAATGAGCCAGCTCTTTGGAGTCTCTTTTATAAAGGCACTGATCTCCACTGTCATGACCAAATCAGCACCCAAAAGCCCCAACTCCTAATACTATCACCTTGGAAGTTAGGATTTCAACATATAAATTTGAGGTGGCAGTACACCAATATTCAGGTAATAGCATTTATCAATAAAAAAGAAGTCACTTTGCTAAAACACATCAAAACCAACACCACCACTGACAAAGTATTTTACCATATGAATTACTTTAGGAAAATAATTTCACAGAATCCAACAGCCATTCCTGAAAAAAACTCTCAGCAAACTACTACTACAGGAGACTTTCTCCAGCTTGTTAAAGAACATCTTCCAAATACCTATAGCTAACATCATACTTAATGGTGAAAATCTGGTCATTTTTCTATTGTCAGGAACATGGCAAGGATGTCCTCTTTTATCCCTCTGATTCAACATCATTCTGGGTATATTACCTAGTGCAATACAAAATTAAAGGAAATAAAGTTATATAGGTTGGGAAGAACAAAATAAAAGAGTTTGTATTTGTATATTACATTGATCTATGTAGAAAATCTCAAACAACTGAAAAAAATGATTCCTGGAACTAATAAGAAATAGGAAGACCATAGATGCAATGCTAGAATACAAAAGTCAATTGCTTTCCCATATACAAGCAATGAACTTTTGGGATTTGAAATTAAAAACTAAATAAAATATTACCATTTACAATCAACCCAATTATAATATAATACTTAGGTATAGCTATGTTATGGACTAAATGTTTGTGTCTCTGCAAAATTCATATGTTGAAGCACTAACCTCCAATGTGATGATATTAGGAAGTAGGGTCTTTAGGAGGTACAGTAACAGAATTAGTGACCATATAAAAAGACACAACAGCTTGTTTTCTCTTTCTGCTCTATGAGGACACAGTGAGAAAATGGCTGTCTGGAAAACAGAAACTAGCCCTCACCAGACACCAGATCCGCTGGCACCTTGAACTTGGACTTTTCAGCTTTCAGAACCAAAAATAAATAAATAACTTCCGAAAAACTGGATGTTATTCAGGACATCCAATTTGTGGTATCTTGCTAAAGCAGCCTGAACACACTAAGGCAACATATAACCAAATATGTACAGGATTTATCTGCAAGAAATTACAAATCTCTGATGAAAGAAATCAAAGAAAATCTAAATAAATGGAAAGATAGTCCAGGTTCATGTATTGGGACAGCAAGTATTATTAAGGTGTCAGTTATTGCTAACCTGATCTATACATGTAATGCAATCTCACTCAAAATCCCAGCAAGCTATTCTATAGACATGGACAAATTTATCCTAAACTTAATATGGAGAGGCAAAAGACCTACAGTAGCTTAAACATTACTGAAATACAGCAGTTGAAAGAACTTCACTCCCTAAATTCAAGACCTACTGTAAAGTTACGTTATTCAAAGTAGCATTATACAAGACCACATGGTACTGGTGAAAGAGCACAAGGAACAATACTCCAATAGCAGTAAGAATGCCTAGTGATGGAATAGTGATTTATAATGCTGCTCTCCCATGAAAGGAATCAGAGTTCCTTGGAGAAATGGTTGATTCCAGGACTGGCGCTGGGCTTATACAAGTGGATCCTGCAGTATCTTATAGTGCAGGAAATAAGAAGGGTTAAAAAATATGTAAAATGATAGGAATGTGTAAAAGGAACACAAGGGTCAAATGATAGTGCTCCTAATGTCCAGATTTGAAATACTTTGAGCAAAACATTACGTAATGTAGTATTTGACTATACCCTGAGTTAAGAAATAAGTATCCATGAGTCCATATGGATATAATATATTAAAAAATAAATGAAAGATGGTAGACAAGTCTGCTGTGGAGAATAATTTTAGAAAATATACACACACAAAAATACTCTGCTCACAAGGGAGTTGAACATAACTTCCCACCCCTTCAACGTAGGCTGCACAGAGTGACTACTTACAAAGTGCACAGTGTGGAAAGTGAGAAAAGATGAGATTGACTCCATAGTGGAAAAATATGACAACCATCATGTATTACTCTGTTCTTACACTGATAATAAGGACGTCCCTGAGACTGGGTAATTTATAAAGGAAAGGGGTTTAATTGACTCACAGTTCAACGTGGCTGGGGAGGCCTCAGGAAACTTACAATCATGGCAGAAGAGGAAGCAAACATATCCTTCTTCACATGGTGGCGGCAAGAAGAAGTGCCAAGCAAAAGGACGAAAAGCCCCTTGTCAAACCATCAGATCTCATGAGAACTCATTCACTATCAAGAGAACAGCATGGAGGTAACCGCTCCCTTGATTCAATTACCTCCCACCTGGTCCTTCCAACCACACATGGGGATTATGGAAACTGCAATTCAAGATGAGATTTGGATGGGGACACAGCCAAACCATAGCACATCACCTCAGTCACGTGAAGCAGGTCAGCATCAATCATGGTAAATCATGTTAATCACATGCACTCTTGATAAGAT
This sequence comes from Homo sapiens, assembly GCF_000001405.40. Classification (NCBI taxonomy): domain Eukaryota; kingdom Metazoa; phylum Chordata; class Mammalia; order Primates; family Hominidae; genus Homo; species Homo sapiens. Next base: position 5,398,728 of record NC_000008.11, read on the forward strand.
ATAGCAAAAATGGCGCTTTACCTTTTTTAGTCTTCCTCCCCCAAACCCACAATCCTTGTCTAATCATGAGTAAAACATCAGGTAAATCCAACCACGGGACAGTTTACAAAGTATCTAATGAGTATGTCTTAAAGTTGTCAAGGTCATCAAAAGTGAGGAAAGTCTAAGAAATTATCAGGGGCAAGAGCCTAAGTAGACATGACAATTCAATGCAATACAGCTTCCTAGATGGAATTCTGGAGTAAAAATTGTTAAAAATTAAAAGGAATCATAGTGAAGTATGGAATTTTGTTAATAATAATGATTCAATATTGAGGCACGATTTGTAAAATCATACCATACCAATATAAGAAGTTGATTTTGGAAGCATCAGAAATGGATGGCAAGCCTATGCTCTATCTTCTCAAATTACATACACATAAAATTACTGTAAAATAAAAACAAATAAATGTTAAATCTAGTTATCATCTTTATTAGAGTTTAAAGTCAATTAATCTAATATGTCTTTATATACCAGCAAGATTCAGGGAATGATAGAAAATGCGCTATATTCAGCGGGTTTCAATTCGATCGCGTCACCCTCTACCTGTGTCATAACACACAGATCCCTGCCTCTTCATCGCCCACCTCATGTAATCGAAGTGATGGACGGCTCAACTCTCTCTTGCTTTCCTTACACTGTATCTCTGACATTTATAACCACTTCCTCTGAAATTAGTAGAATACAACTACTTTCATATGGATAAGTAGTAAATATTTCTCAGATGAATGCTGTACTTATTTTGTATTTTTCATAAAGTCTGATAAAATAAAACATTGTTTATATAGCAGAGTCAAGATGACTAAAGTGATAGTATTTTTTAAATCATAAAATCCTAAAATATCAGAGTAGGAAGGAGCTAATTTAGAGATGAGCAGACTGAGACTTGGAAAGAGAAAAGACTGTAAATTCCTCATATCAGTTAGAGACATCTTTAGGCATCCAATGTACCTTCCACATTTTAAATTGAAAATTAGCCATATCATTTTTCTTTAAAAGGTATTTCATCATATGCCTATTTAACTCTATTCTCCAAATCACAAAAAAGAGACTAAGGAACCATTCTACTCTGACGTGTGTCTGTGTGTGTGTGTGTGTGTGTGTCTGTGTGTGTGTGTGGTGTATACTTCTGAATAGTTTCGTATGAAAACAATTGCTTAATTTGCTTATATTACCTCTGCGGATAACATGCATGTGCACGAAGCAATGATTCACTCTAAGTTTAGAATAAAACCTCTTTCTTGGTTACTTAGAGCTTAAACATGAAGATGACCTCCGCTTTGAACCCAGTAGGTACTTATTTCTAAAGGGTGTGATTTGTTTCATGTCTCAGTGGGAACATGCTTACTGGGCTTGAATACAGAACAGCTATTGGGCTGCATGTGGCATATTCATGAAATGTATTTTTCAACATGAACTGGAACTAGGGCCCCCAACGGAATAAAGACAACAAAAGACCCATGTTTTCTCATTAAAGAAAGTTACCTGTCCCCCTCCAATCTAGAGAACACCCATAATTACATGCAAATGATGTGATTTTCAACTGTTGTGATAATCTATTACTATAATTAAGTGCCATGCACAATATTTTAAACAACTCACACAGATCACCATGAATCATGTGGACTCTGCAGTAGACCATTATTACAACAGATCTGCTTGATCACAGATAACATTATTCTAAGCTTTGAGGGCAGGGGTGATATAACATACCAAACATAAATAATTTATAGAACGATGAGAAAGAAATCAGTGCTTGTTTTTTATTTTGCATTTGTTTTAAACCATTATGGGAAAACTCAAACTTTTATTTTCAAATGTCTAAGACTCTGGAGATACTGTATTTAATATGGTTGTCAGAGTCTGGCACCAGTCCAATAAAACTTGCACTTAAAATTGCTACAATTAAATTGGCTAATAAGAATTATGTTAACACAAAGCTGCTTATGCCTTTCTGTTGAGAAAGGATTTTCTCATTCCTTGTTAACAGAGGTTAAAGAAAAAAAATGGAAGGTAAAATTAATCCAATTACCTTGTTTTTTCTTCCATCATCCCAAGGAAAAAGAGTATGTTTCTTCACAATCAACATTCAGCACATTTCCCTAATTAATGCAATTTGATAAAATGAAACAAATTCATGATGTCATTAACTGAGTTCTGCCTAATGAAGTTGGGTTCTATGAAACATTAACTGCAGAGCAAAATCTATTTCTGTGGCCAGGGAAACACGCATATATCATTTCAGTACATTTACTTTGGAAGTACCAATCATGAAGGCTTATCACTACAATCACCATGTCTTGATAAATCAACATAAATTAACATTTTGATCAATGCCATCATTAAACCCAGGCTGTGAAAGAAGGAATCTACTCTGCTGAAGTGGCACAAATTAACTCTGCCCCCTGACAAAATAAGAGGCTGCCCGGTGGACGACTGTTGTTTTTTCATTTGAAGCTGTATTTCTCTTACCAAGTTTGACAATAACCATCAATATCATCAAATCACGAAAAGGAAATTTACTTTCACAGACACAGTGTGAATAGTGGTTTTAAAAGAAGACAAAAGAGCTGAAGGTTGCTAAAAGTTATGTAAAACCTACAAATACCCTTGTTTATTCACATATAAAAATATATACATATTTAGATATGTAAGATTATATAGCCACTGTGATTACAAAAGTAGAATTTAAATATTTAAATTTTTTTCTCCAAATTAAAAACAAATATTACTGCAAATTCACTTTATCCCTTGTCAGGTTGTTATGAATCCAATAAACTCAAATATTTATTTCCTTCCTTTTAATTTTCCTTCTATTGTTCTTGTATGCAGGATCTTTTTAGCTAGTTGTTGATTATCATTACCTATATTGTTATTAGCAAAATTAAAACTTCATTCATTTTTCCTGACATATTAACTAATGTCGTTTTTCTTTGATACAATCTTATTCAAATATTACAACACATTTAGCAGTCACTGTCTCCTTGGCCTCCTAGTGGCTTTCGACAATTTATTAATTTAACTGGTCTTGGCAGTTTTAAAGAGAACAGGTCAGTTATTTCGTAGAATGTTGGGACTTGGATTTTTTCATCTGACTGGAATTTATCTGATGTTTTTCCCATTCTTAGGTCAGAAGTATGGGTAGAAAGACCCAGAGATAAAGTATCCTTTTCATCACGTCATTTCAAAACATTGATTCACGAGAACTCTCAGTTAAAATTCCCACCATTACATTGGCTAATGAGAACCATGTTAATACAAAATAGCTCATACTTTCATGTTGGAGAAGGGTCAAGCTGATCTATCACTATAAATGTGATTTATTACTGTTGACGTTAAGCTTGACAGCTGGCTGAAACAATGTTGTCAGGTTTCTCCACTGAAAGTCACATGCCTCCTCTTGCCTTTCCCTCCTGCTCTCTGTAGAAGGAAGTCACTAAACGCACCCGTAACACAGAGTTATGGTCCACTCTTTAGAGCAGAGTATCTTGATACAATATATTTAATTCTTTGCACAGGAGACTTCCCTGTGCTCCCTCATGTCTTTACATATTCAACCATTTGCTTATTTCAGTATGAAGTCAATAATATACTTGGGGTGTAGCTTATCGTTACTTTGTTTTATTGTCCAAATTGTCGCAGTTTCAACTCTAGCCAGTTATCTCAGTTAGTTCCAATGTCCTTTTCACATTCCCCCATCATCTCTGTGTGTATCTGTGTGTGCGTGTTTTAGCACTTACTTACTGGAACTACAAGACGCTTCAGGCTCACCATGTGTTCTTTCCTGCCTCAATACTTCAATGAGGCTGTGCACGGTGGCTCATGCCTCTAATCCCAGAACTTTGGGAGGCCAAGATGGTGGCTCAACTGACCCCAGGGGTTCAAGACCAGCCTAGACAACATGGCAACATTCAGTCGCTACAAAAAATACAAAAATCAGCCAGGTGTGATGTTGTGTGTGTGTGGTCCTAGCCACTCAGGGGGCTGAGGTGGGAGGTTTGCTTAAGCTGTGAGGTTGAGGCTGCAGTGAGCCACCACTGCACTCCAGCCTGGGAAACAGGGGAATACCCTGTATCAAACAAACAAACAAAACCTTTCAATCGACCATTTCTCTAATTAGAATGTCAACTGAGATTCTGATTCTATCACTCAGCAAAACATCCCTTTGGAACGAGGCATTTAGAAGGGTCAAGGGAAAATTGACTTAATAATAATACCGCTTCTCCGTAGAGTAGCATCTGAAATACTGTTCCCTTCTTACTAAGGTTGTCATTTGCAATGGTGGCAACCATGATATCAACCTCTATTTAAATGTGTATTTAAACTGTATTAACTTCCATTTTTCCTTTGATTCCTGTAGTGAGAGAATGATAATTGGTTCCTAATGCCCGTTCTCTACTTCTCCTTTTAGTTACACATATGACCACCTTTAATATATTTTCCAGACTTTGCATATGAGCAAAAACACATGACTGATTTCTCACCAAGAAGATAAGAGCAGAAATGTTCTGTTTATTGTTTTCAGGCAAGACATTGGCTTCCACTCCCCATCCCTACTCGTTGCTGGCTGGAATGTAGAAGAGGTAGAGAAATATCTTGGATCACAGAGCATCTTCCCATTGGCAGAGCAACAAAGCAGAAGTACCCTCCATGCCCTATTCCACAAATAAGTTGTTGGCTTATAGTGTTTACCATGTTCTCTATTTCCTCTTCAGTCTTCTGTCTAGTGGTTAGATCCATTACTGAAAGTTGGTTCTTTTTGTCTCTAATTATTACTGTCAAATTTTCTACTTTGTTTTCGTTTCAGTCAGTTTTTGTTTTATGCATACTGTGATTATGCTGCTAAATGCATATATTTTAATAAATGTTTTATCTTCTTGACTTTTTAAACCTTTTATAATTATAAGATACCCCTTTTATCTAGTAATTATTTTTGGTCTTGAAGTCTCTTTTACTTGATGTTAAGATAGCTATTATCGGTTACAGTTTTTAAAATATCCTTTTTAAATCTATCATTTTACTTTCGTTCGATTTGTGTGTTTAAATCTAATGCGTGTCTTCTGCATACAGTGTAACATCAGACCATTTAAAAAAAATTCATTCTGTCAACCTCTACCTTTTCACAGTGTTCAATCTATTTACTTTGGTTGTAGTTATTAATAAGGTAAGATTTATATCTGCCATTTTATTTGTTTTTATATACTGTATGTCCTTTTTATTATTTTATTCCTCAATTATTGCACTCTCTTATGTTAAATAAATATTTTCTACTGTGCTACTTAAATTATACTGTCATTTATTTTATTTTATTTTTGTTATTTTCTTAGTAGTTGCCCTAGAAATTAAAATAGCCATCTGAATTTATAACAATCTAGTTTAGATTAAATCCAAGGTGATTTAACATATATAAAAATTTGCTTTTGTATATTCCTATTTTCGCCCTCATTTGTGCTACTATTTTTATACTTAGTACATATTTACTCATTTATATATCACATGTGGAAGAAAAAGTTACAAAAATAAATACAGCTGTACTGTATTTTGTGTTTACTTTTGTAGTTACTTTTACCAAAGCTCTTCATTGTATTGTGTGGACTTGAATTTTTTTTCTAGTGTCCATGAGTTTAAAGGATTTTCTCAATATTTCTTTCAGGACAGATATGCTGGGTATAAATTTTCCTGTTTTATGTTTAAATGAGAATGTCTTAATTTCTTTCATTTTGAAGTATAATTTTACTGTGTATAGAGTTCTTGGCTGACTGTTTTTTTTCAGCATTTTGCATTTATCATCCCATTGTCTTCTGATCTTTATGGCTTCTGATGAAAAATCGGCTAGTAATCTTATTAAGGATGCCTTGATGAGTTGCTTCAATATTCTCTCTTTGACTTGCATTTTGACAGTTTGACTGTGATGTGTTTCATTGACTATGATGTGTTTCATTGTGGATGCTTTGAATTTTTCATACTGGAGTTTATTGCATTTCTTGGATGTGTATGTTCATGTCTTTCATCAAATATGTGATGTTTTTGATTATTATTTCTTCCATACTTTTTCTGTCCCCTTTTCTTTCTCATCTCCTTAGGAGACTCTTCATCATGTGTATCCTGGAATGCTTTCAGTGTCCCAGGGGTCTCTGAGGCTTTGCTCTTTCCCTTTTAAAATTATTTTTCTGTTATTTTTTTAACAAAATAAATATTTTAATTAACCCATCTTCAAATTCACTGATTCTTTCTACACTATCTTATATCTTCTGCTGAATTACTCTAGTGCATTTTTATTTCAGTTATTGTAATTATCAACTCCAGAATTGCTATTTTTTTGGTAATTTATATGTCTTTATTGATATTGTTTATTTGGTTAGACATTACTCTCATACTTTCCTTGAATTATTTTTGCTGTTGCTTAGCTATTTTCTTGGACTAATTCCTTAATATCTGTGTTATTTGTTATTTGTGGTCATTGTACTCTCTGCTCAGTTAGCTTCAGTTCTATTTCTTTTTTTTTTTTTTTTTTTTTTGAGACGGAGTCTCGCTCTGTCGCCCAGGCCGGACTGCGGACTGCAGTGGCGCAATCTCGGCTCACTGCAAGCTCCGCTTCCCGGGTTCACGCCATTCTCCTGCCTCAGCCTCCCGAGTAGCTGGGATTACAGGCGCCCGCCACCGCGCCCGGCTAATTTTTTGTATTTTTAGTAGAGATGGGGTTTCACCTTGTTAGCCAGGATGGTCTCAATCTCCTGACCTCATGATCCACTCGCCTCGACCTCCCAAAGTGCTGGGATTACAGGCGTGAGCCACCGCGCCCGGCCCAGTTCTATTTCTTAGAAGGCTACAACCAGTAATCTCCTAGTGCTTGCTCATCAGTTTTGAGTGCATTTTAGGACACACCTCAACACTCAAGCAGGCAGTGTTTACAGCTCTGCTTTAACACCCACCTCCTATATGAACAAGGTCTCAAGGTCTTGCAAAGGTAAGGGGCCTACTTAGGGTATTTCTTTGACATACATAGGTACATTCCAAAATGTATAAGCTTCTCAGTTTGTGTCAGAAATATGTCAAAGATATTTATTTATTTATTTGTTTATTTTATTATTTTTTTTTGAGATGGAGTCTCACTCTGCTACCAAGGTTGGAGTACAGTGATGTGATCTTGGCTCATTGCAACCTTTGCCTCCCTGGTTCAAGGTATTCTCCTGCCTCATCCTCCCAAGTAGCTGGGATTACAGGTGCTCACCTAGCTAATTTTTGTGTTTTTAGTAGAGATGGGGTTTCCCCACGTTGGCCAGGCTGGTCTTGAACTCCTGACCTTAGGTGATCTGCCTGCCGTGGCTTCCCAAAGTGCTGGGATTACAGGTGTGCCTGGTCATGTCAGCATTTTTAAAGCTCTCTATGGACATCTCATCCCATAGCTTTTTATTTTTTGTTTTTGTTCAGTTTTTTGTTTGCCTCACCCATTCTTGCCATGTCTGGCATCTGGGATATTAAACCATCACCATTGATTGCTTTTGTGAAGGGTTCTTGAGGCAAAAGCTACATTAGGTAGCATCAGATTCAGGTCAAATCAATGAAATCCCTGCAAATGAGGATTTTTTAGGGTGCTATCAGTATGACAAATAATTATAATTTTCTGGAAGCAAGCTTTAGATGGTTTCTACACCTCTTCCCCCACCCCAGTAAAAGGCTGTAGATTTCTGGTTTTCATTATGATGTTGGGGCTCTTGACTTCAAACCTGTCACAAATCTAGAGAGATAAAATAAAATACGGCATGTTAAAACACACTTACAATTCTTACTAATATGCAGACGTTTTTCTTAATGTGCTCCAGATTCTTTCAGAACTTTGGCTGATTTTTACAGTTCTAGAAATGTTATTTTCCCACAAATTTTGCCAGTATGGTCTTTGCTTTGATACCGGAGACAGATGTCACCATCTTTGTTTTATTTTGAGGATTGTATAAAATATATTTTTAAATAACTACACACATATTTTGTTTCACTAAGACCTGCTAAGAAAGATATGTTGTTAGAAATTTAAAACATGGCAATAGAAACATCAGAGTTAAAACCATATTAAATTTGATTTTACTTTAAGTTGTCTGCTTCTTCTCAAATTCAGAATCATCATTCTAACCCAGTCTCTGGATTATTTAAATTTTCTTGACTCTTGCCTTCCATTATTCACACCATCTGAAACACTTAGGTGTGACTAATATTCCTAAGACTGGTCATTCCATTTTCTTACTTTCAGAAATCTCTACTGGCTGCTGAAGTAAATCATCTTGAGTTATGATCAAAGGCAGTACATTATATGGGTTTCACCTTTCTCCCGGGGAATAGTCCCTGGCACTGCCCTCCTGGGACCACAAGACTGTGCTGCTCAAAGTGGAGTCTCAAAACTGGTTCTGGTCCAGGGACTGTATATTGTGGAGTCCAGAGTGAGGACAGACATTTGGAATGACTATTTAGACAATTTCATGGTGTTTGAAATTATTACATCACTTATATTCTTGAACTATGGACTTGTTTCATTCACCAAGTTATAAACTGATTCGGAAGTCAACAAATTCCACTGGTGAGTCACATGTGGCAAGAGCCAAATACCAGTCATGTTCAACTATATCACTTTAAAATATGTGGTAGTTTAAGGTGAATTTGTCAATTATAATCTAAATGTATAAAAATCTAACAATAGGTAATAATTAATTTGTTTTATAACTTGTTTTTATAATCTTTTTTTAATTTCACATAGTTCAGTCTGACTTATAGTCAAGTATTATCATTTAATCACAGTCAATAAAATCATTTTTCTTTTCAATCCTAATTTACAAGTAGTGAAACAAGCTTCGCTAGAATTTTTGTCAAGTAAGAACACATTTTTCTTCTAAATGCAGTAATGACTATAAATTGAAAAATATTAAAGAAGTGCTTCTGGAGAAAAATACTAGTTTTTTTCAGATTTATAATCACAAATGTTTATTAAGTTCAGTTTTGTGGTCATAATTGTTAAGTGCTAAAATTATTCTTTTATTTTGAATATATATTGGTTAGTGAAGCAATGAAACAATAAACTAAGCATAAGCTGCATTTAAATACATAAAAATAAGTTCAAAGTCAAAAATATTCACAGAAAACAAAATGTTTAATTAAAACCCTGACATAAGCAAATATTCAATATTTTACATTGGTGCTTTTAGGATTCTTGTAAAGTGGCACTTTAGGTTACTAAGAATGAAAAATCGTGTCCAATGGCCTATCCATTTAGTGAAGGTCTGCATCAAAGAGCTTTGCTTGTAAATGATGAATAAACTGCCTAAAAGTTATTTTTTTAAGAACTGCTTTTCCTTGACATCACATAGCTCAAATTATTTAGGCACTAAATACTAATGGGAGAATATGTCAAGAATATATGAGATGTTGTGTTTTTTTTTTCATTTCAGCACGATAAATAACAAAACATAAAATGTCACTTCTGTTCTTAATGGGATTTGAATATAATGAGGAAGGAAGAGTAGAACTCTTCAGTTACAAGTGTATTCTTGAAAATCACATCCAACTCTGAACAGCATAAAACCATAAGGAATTATGTTGTCATAAGAAGTGGTTTGGAGTCTTTTCTACGGGTGTGTTCTCATGATAGTTACCCATATTAAGGAGCTTGTGCTAGAATATAAATCAATATATTGTTTTTAAGCAATGAGACCGCCTTACTGCAGGGAAAAAAATCCTCAGCTGAACAACAACAAAAAGGACACTTTTTAACTGAATAAGAAAATATATTAATTTTTAAGTTTTTTCCACAATTCACATATTCTTCTAAAAATTTCCCCACCATAATCCAACTGCCTTACATAGAATAACTACTATTTATAACAAGCTTTTTTGTTATTATACAATAAGAAAAAATAACTTCAAAGATTATTGAGGAGGAAACTTTTATTAAGAACACTGGAATGATGAAATGACTTGCAGTATTTTTGCAAGTAAAGAAGTCAGTTATTCTCAACTTAAAAAAAATTCTTCTGTTTTTCCGATCAACTTTTTAAAGATGTAAATTAGACAGCCTATCTTATTTATCTAACGTTAATATTTCTTTTTTAATCTTAGCATTAATATTTCTATGTAAGATGGGAAGGAAATATGTTTTTCAATGGTGCATAAGGCCAAAGGGCAAAATAAAATTTAGAATTTAGAAATTTTGCAGATTTTTAGGACAAGCTCCATTATTCATAACCATTATGAAAAAAGTGAATGATATTCTTAGTTTCCCATCTGTTGCCAGACACTATTTATAACTTATTTACATCACAAGGCCTCAAACCCATAAAACCGATCTTTCTGTTTTTAACTCCCTTCCGCACCAAATATGCTACCTTAAGTATGGTAAATGTTATTGTGTAAGAAGTGCATAAGTCGTCTTGGCCTAAAGCCAAGATTAAGACTGAACTCTTACTCCTCATCTCTAGTTCAATATTCCAACCTGTATTAATTAGTGCATCTATTTTTTATCTGCACTAATTTCAATGGGAAACTTCTGAAAAAAAAATGTGAGAAGAATAGATAGGCTTGAATGCAGGCAGACAACATGATATATTGAGAAGGTGTAAGTGGACTGGGACTCAGTGGCAACAGAAAAGAAAAGAAAAAGAAACCAATAATTCCAAAAAGCTTTTTTTGGTGTTTTTGAGACGGAGTCTCACTGTCACCCAGGCTGGAGTGCAGTGGTGCAATCTCGGCTCACTGCAAGCTCTGCCTCCCGGGTTCACGCCATTCTCCTGCCTCAGGCTCCCGAGTAGCTGGGACTACAGGCGCCCGCCACCACGCCTGGGTAATTTTTGTATTTTTAGTAGAGACTGGGTTTCACCGTGTTAGCCAGGATGCTCTTGATCTCCTGACCTCGTGATCCGCCTGCCTCAGCCTCCCAAAGTGCTGGGATTGCAGGCCTGAGCCACCGCGCCCGGCCCCAAAAAGCTTTTTAGCTTCTCTTACATGAAAATGAACACTGTGGAAAAGTAGTTTCATTCAGTGGTTCTGACATACTTTGTTCTTGAGACTCCTTTGTTTGGTATTAGACAATCTAGTTTGTTTATTGGTTTGGAATATGTTAATTCTGTTTTATTCTTGATTTTTTTCTGTAAAAATTTTACCATATTTACTTGATTTCAAGGTTGTTGTCAACCTACAAGATAATCTTCTCAAGCAATACATAAAACCTAAAAAGAGATATCTGTGATCCTCCACCTTACTGATGTCTAGTATTTTAGTACACATTTCTTTTTATTATACTCACCATGGTAGACTTTGTTAAAGGCAGTATGAGATTGAGTTTGAGATTACACGCGATGGTCACTTTGTTCATTGCTACTTTGTCTTGAATTTGACTCCTTTCTTTTACACAAAAGTGCATCATTTATTAGTCTTTTAATATTATTATTAAGAATGTTTTGCAACTGTTTTGTGGTTATTTTAAGGGTTTTTTCCCTATTTTTGCTTACGCATGAGCAATAATTCAGTTAGACATATAGTTCTAAGTCAAAGTCTTCCCTAGAGTCCTTTAATTTTAAGAGTTATTGTTATTTCTAATAAGAAATATGATGCCTGCCTAATTTTCTCTTCTTTGTAGGTAACCTGTTGGAGCAAGCCTTGGTCTTTGCAAGCCAAGCATATTCAAGGGATTTTACGAAGGGACTGTGTATGCTGATGTGGGTGAGGCTAAGGAAACAGACAAGAAATATTGATGTCTCCAGGGACCCACACACACATAAAGGGGGATCCAGCATTCCTTTAAGGCTGTACCTAAAAGCTGAGGGAGTAATGTTTCCAGAACCTGGGTGAGAATCGGAGCAATAGGAGAAGATGTCACCATACAGGGATGAAGCCCTGGGCAGAACCATACTGAAGCAGGAAATGCAGGAAACAAGGATCTCTGCTGCTCTCCCCTCTAGATTTGCAATCCTCTGCCAGTTTCTTGCATGGACTGAAACCAACTAGATGCTGCGGAGCAGGAAACCCCATGGGACATGGGCTGTAAAAGTCAGCGTCCCATATTGTGAAGTGTGCAACAGCAGCAGAGACAGACAGAGAGTTAATCCAGGGTAAGGAGAACCCGGAGGTTGTGCTTTTCCCTCTTATCCTGTTAACTTTTAAGATTTTTCTCTTTGACTTTGAGGTTTCAGCTTATCTGATAGTGTTAGATACAAACTTGCTTTTATTTCTCTCATTCATAAGCTGATACCTTCTTTCCATCTGACAATTTTCATCTTGACTTCAGTCTGGCAAATGACCAGTCCTGAGCGCTCATCCTAGAATTCTTATTTTCCTGCTGTAGGTGGGTGGGCTCTCTACTTTTCTTGATTCTTAATCCCCATCCTCCCTGTCAGATCATTAGTAGAGAGGTTGCTTTCAATGGAATTCCACGTTGGAAACATTCTATAAATATATTTTTGAGTTTGCTACTGCTAAAGCATTAAGGATTTTACCCGTTCTAGACTCATTTTGATACTCAAAAAACAGCAACAGTGATTACACCATGCAAATCCAGTACGTCCTCCCCTTTGTGTCCTAATAGAATTCTAAGATTTCTGATTTCTCACCAGGAACTCTATTTCAAACTGTGGCTGTTGTTTGCTTGCAATCTTCCTTGCCCCTTTCTTAGGATACTAAGAGCATTTCTTTTGTTCTGTTCCTAGCTGCATGGACAATGCAACTCTTAGAGGTTTTAAGTTCTTAAAGGTTTTTATACCATTCACGTGTTCCAACTCTGCTTCACAGAAACCTGAGCTCTCATTTCCTGTACCTACTTATGAATTAATGCCATTTCTCCTAATTCCTGCTTGCAGGTCCAAAGCCTCCTGCAGCAAGTCTTTACTCTCTTAGCTTTGAACACACACTTAGAAATGCATTTGATTTTTTTGTCTGGTTTGGAACTCAGCTATCTTATATTTTATCAAACATGTCTATGTGTTTGGAAGAGAGGGCAACCCATCCACGCCAGTTTAGTTCAGTACTGTCACCTATATGATGTGTAAGAGATAGCACTCTCCCAAGTCTGTGAACAGGAAACCTGAAACTATTCTAAATAATTCTGTTTAATAGACTTTTTTCTCTTCTAAGATGACCAGCAGAATATGACAGTTTGTGTTTTTAATGGGCAGAAGGGGAATTGAATAGTTCGTCTCTTGAGGCCCTTCAGAAATGTTAGAAAATTGTTTTCTTCTTCACACCTGACTGAGCTGCCATTAGCAGTGTGACTGATATCGCTGCTTTGTCTTGCAATAACGTGTATTTGTGAACAGTTCACTTTCATGTTGAGAGTTACTTCCAGCAGAATTTGTTTCTTTTCAATTGTGTAAACCATAGGGCTCAGTTATCTGTAAGTATCTGCCAAGCAGCAATAGGTTTCTTCTTGTAACAAACAATATGGTTGCTTTTGTATAAGATCCGTTCATTAGTGTGCAAAGAATTTAAAAACTTACTCTTTCCATTTCTTTAGCAATAGATTTGCTATTCTTATTATTTCGCTTTATAACACATGACAGTCTCTTGTATTTTTAAAGTGTAGGGCTGAGCTCCTTATAATCATAATTTAGAGATCAACTCTCCTAGTTAGGAATTATCTCAATATACAGTGGAAGAAATTAACACTCACACAGGCTGAGTAACTTGCCCAGTTTCCTGGTAACAAAGATGGTATTTGAAGTAAGTTTTATATCCTTGTATAACTTAAAAAATACATACCACTCTCATGGCTTTCAACTTTCCAGATACATGAATTGAATCTGTTAAGCAACATCTGTTGCTTAACACATTCTTGGCCAAATAGTCATCTAATTCCCTTGACTTTCAAATCAGTATATTTTCTACTATAGAACACTTTTCTAAAATTAGAAGGTGTGTTCTTCCCACTTTCATTTTGTCCAGTATCTCTGCCCAGGACATATTCAAGCCTGGAATGCAAACTATTATGGTTCTTGGTAGCATTTTCATGTCTGCATTTGTGAGGAGCCACTACACTGAAAGATAAATATGTAGAAATTCTACCGAAATAATTAGTACACCCCATTGATGCTACTTATAACTTTATTCAATCAGTGCAAAGTTTTTTGTGTGTATCACATGCCAGGAAATGGGGCAGGAGTTGGAAAGTTGGGGAAAACTAAGACTCGTGCCTGGTCTTCATCAGCTCAGAATCAAGAATTAAAATAGGTATACAATACATAGATTAAAACAAGATCTTATGAACACAGTAGAATCATGTACACAATGGAGATACAGCAAAGACATAGACCAGAGAAAATAAAGTCAGTTGATGAGGAGGTAGTCAGACTTTGTCTTTAGCAGAAGAAATTTTTATTAATACCATTGCAATATGGTAGAAATTTCCCTACTTAAACCCGAGGACCTATGGAGTTATGTTGTTCCCTGAATATTATTAAAACGCTTTAGTCATTCAGTTATTCAAAAATATTATTGAATGCCTTCGCTTTTCCAGGAACTGTGGGGTGCTAAATTTGGTAAAGAAAGCCATGGCCCTTACCACCAGGTAGTTTAGTTTAACGGGCAAGACATTTGTTATTGAAATGAACTGAAACGTATATAAACAAACAACTATAGAATCAATACTTTAGGAACTAGATTTAAGGCACTTGGATGAATCATTCTGCATTCAAGAAGCAGTGATATGCCAACAAAGACGCCCCTGCTAATTCGGGATTTTATGCTTATTTCTGAAATGACAATAATTTTCCAAGTGGTGGTGATAAGTTTTCCTAAGAATAGCCATCCTGAGCCTGCATTTGTCATAGGTTGCTGATTCTTCAGTTCTGATTACAAAGGGAACAAGGCTAATCATGGATGGAGATTCAGAGAAAAGTGAAGATGAAGTTAACCTGCTCTGTCATTAACAGAATCAAAACCCAAATGAAACAAAGCAAATGAAAACAATGGAAGCGTAGCTCCAGACTACAGCAATATTAATTTAGTTATTTAGCTCCTGAACAACTTGTTTTCTTAATTTAATAAAACTTCTGGGACTAAATACTAAATTCTCCTTGTTGTGAATGTTACTCAGAATCGTGTGTGTGTGTGTGTGCTCATGTGTGTGTGTGTGTGTATTGGAGGCACAGATGTTAAGCAGAGAAAGGTTATAGGAGAACATTATTTGACCACATAATTATCTTCCCAATGCTTGATGTTGGTCAGTAAGAGCAGGAGAGACTGTGGCAGGGAAAGTTGTCAATGTTTCTGAATAAATGGGGCTGCCAGACAAATTACGGTTAGTAAAAGCTGTGGCTTATGAAGTAGTAACAATCATGCCAGATAAATTGGATAAGGAGGAAGCAATATGGAGGGAACAGAATGGTGGTTGAAAGAAGAAAAATGGTAGTGTGTGGAAAGCTAACATGAGTGGCACTGGGTGTAGGAGAGGAGTTAATGCTTTATACCTATTTCTCTAGAAATAAGATGAGGGTCTGATTTTATTTTCTCTCCTTCACCTCCCATTTCTATAAAACTTATTTTCAATTGTAAATGAGGAAAAACTTTTACCTGCTCATATTGTTTTAAACTAAGACTGGACACAAAGTAAGTGTTTTAAATACATTGAGTATGTGAAGCAAAAATGAATTTCAAGTCAGATTTGAATATGCAGAAATATCACTCATATTTCTCTATAATTGGAGTCAATTTAAACATCGGGTTATCATCTCTGCTTGGTTGTAGAAAACAATTTTTCCAATTCAAGGTAAATTTAGTCATTTTTAGATTAGTTTAGTTTCTAGATAAATATTTAGTTTGCTTGAGAATTGCTCTTTGCGCTTTCCCTCTTATCTCTTGCGTCAGGAAAAGAATATTTTGTTACTGTATTATTCACCTTCATAACTTTTGTTCGGCCAGAGAAAACTACGTTATATACAAGAAAGTTGACTAACGCTGCATCGTATTAAAACAATATGAATGATCAGTGTCTACATGTTATCATGGTTACATGAACTGCAACCAACAAAAACACCACAAATCACAACACTCATTTGAACAAGATTTACTAAGAACCAGTGACTAACTGCAGAAAACATTTTCTGTGTATTGCGTGTGTGTAAACCTACACCAACCAGAGTGATGAACATTAAGACCGCAACTATTTCTTTGATGTTACCTACAGTAAAGATCATTCTATAATTTTATTCCCCAGAAGAGGCTGAAATTGATGAGAATGTAATGAATTCTGAGATGCAAATGAAAATTGAGGTAATTTTGTTACTTCAATCACTTTATTGCCATATCTCTATACCCAAAGATTAAGGGCAAAATCTTCACCAGTGATTATAAGAAGTGCAGCATTTTTAAAATAAGCAAAGCCCAGAATAACAGAATCCTGCACAAAATTATAAAGAAAGCACATTTATGCAATGCACAAAGCTTCCATTTGTGGAGTTGAGCTGATGAGTTTGCATCACCATCACCCAAATCTGTGAGCACAGGAGGAGCTGGGCTTTGAACTTGGTTCTGATTAGAGAAGAAGGTAAGCTCAGCAACTTTGGAGTCAAATCACCATCAACAGGTCCCTCTACTGACTGATTTGGACAAAAAAATATTCTACTGCTCCAGTGACATCATTTGCAAGTGAGCTTCTAATTTGATGTTGAGAAGTGTGCTGTAGTGACTGGGAAGGCATCAAGAGGCTGACAGGACTGAGAAATCATTATTTTTAGCAAATATCAAATTTCCTAAAGTCTACTACTAGCATTTTCTTAATATTTTTATTGTAACTTTTGATATACGACGTTTGAAACGTACACACAATTAGAGGAAATAGTAAAATAAAGCCCTGGTTACTTTTTCTGTGATATCCTAAAGCAAATTTTAGACATCATAGTGCATCTCTCATAGACCCTTCTACTTTCAGCATGTCTAACACAGACTTTTTTGGGGGACAACAGTTTTATTGAGATAGAGTTCACATATTATACAACTTACCCTTTGATGTGTATAAATCAATGATTTTTAGTATATTCTCAGAGCTGTGCAACCAAAATCACACTCAATTTTGGAATACTTTAATCAGTCCTTCCACCACAATACCCCTTAGCTATCAACCCCAATCCCCACTCCCCGCCCTCGGTCCCAGGCAACCATTTATCTAGTTTCTGTCTTTGCAGTATTGCCTATTCTGTGCATTGCATGCAAATGGAATTATGCAATATGTGGTCTTTTATTTTTGGCTACTTTGACTTAACATTTCGCTAAGCTTTCAAGGTTTATCCACATCGAGCATGATTCAGTACTTAATTTCTTTTTATGGGGAAAAATATTCAATTCTCTGTGTGTGCCATATTTTGTTTATCCACTCATCAGTTGATAGACATTTGGGTTGTTTTCACCTTTTAGCTAGTAGGAATAATTTTCTGTGAACATTTGTGTACAAGTTTATGTGTGGACTTATGTTTTTATTTCCCTTTGCAGTCAAATCACTCGATCACATGGTAAGTCTGTGTTGAAAGGGTTTTGGAACATCAAGACTGTTTTCCAACATGGCTGGACCATTTTACACACCCACCTGCAGTGTAGGAGGGTTCTGACCTCTCCACATCTTCGTCAGCATTTGTCCTTGTCTAACTTTATTCTAGCTATCCTTGTGGATGTGAAATGGTACCTTATTGTGGTTTTGGCTCCATTTTGCAATGACTAATAATGCCGGGCATCTTTTCATAGGCTTATTGGCCATTTGCATATCTTCTTTAAAGAAATTTCTTTTCATATTTTTTGATATGTTTAATTGGGTTAGTTTATTTTTTTCTTTTTAGTCTTAATTTGTGAATGTTCCTTATATAACATTTAAGAGTTCTACATTGATTACTCTTAATTTGTGAATGTTCCTTATATAACATTTAAGAGGTCTACATCAAAGTCCTTACTAGATATATGATATGTAAAAACTTTCTCCCCTTCTGTTTGTTATCTTTTTATTTTCTTGATAGTGTCTTTTGAAGCATAAGTTTGTTTTATGAAGTTCAATTTATCTATTCCTTGCTGTGTTGTTTTTGCTTTTAACATCATATGTACGATCCATTGCCAAATCGAAGGTAATGTTATTTCCTCCTAAGAGTTTTAGAGTTTTAGACCTTCTCCTTAGATCTTTGATCTTGTTTGAGTTAACTTTTAGTATATGGGTTTTAACTTTATTTACAGTATTGCACGCTCTTGATTACTTTTGCTTTGTAATAAGTTTTGTAATTAGAAGGTGTGAGTCCTGTATCTTTGCTCTTTTTTAAAAGAATGTTTTGTTTATCTTGTTCCCTTGAGTTTACATGTAAATTTAACTTTAGAATTAGCTTGTCAGTTTTTACAAAGAAGCCAGCTGGAATTTTAGTGGGAATTTCCTTGAACTTATAGATCAATTTGAGGAGTTTTAAGTCTTACGATTCATAAACATGGGGTGTCTTTATTTATATCTTTAATTTCTGTCAACAATGTTTTGTATGTTTCAAAGTATAAGTTTTGAACTTTCTTGGTAAATTTATATCTAAGGATTTTTTGATACTATTGCAAATGAAATTTTTATTTTATTTTATTTTCAGAGGGTTCATTGTAAATATATAGAAATGCAATTAATATTTGCATATTGATCTATTCTTCAATCTTGCTGAACTGGCTATTCATATTTTAAGAATAAAATTAAAATAAGATACAATTTGTACATAAAATATTGCTTATAGTATGTATCCATGGGAATGGTTGAATAGGGAGGGTAAAGAACAAGATCAGTAAAATTGAAAACATCAAGAAAACGCAGAGTATTCAGCAATGTCGTCAATATTGATGTTACCAAGAAATGTGATAGGATTGGCATTACAGATAGTGATAGAATGTGATAGGATTAGCATTACAGAAAAAGAGTGAGTTTTGTGCCCAAATCGTCAACGAACGATAGGGTTAAACTGAACTGTTTCCCAGCATCCAATGGGCTGTATTTTGTAGCTAGTATGAAAATCTGTTGAACTGTAGATAACTGCATCAAAGAGTAATAGGAATGGCTGTATTAGTGGCAGAAACTCCGAGTGAAGAGCAGATTTTTAAGGAGGAGAACGGGAAATGGTTTGGGAGCAGGAATGAAGATAAGATAAAATAATAATGGCGCTAATATCTGTGTGCTACCAAGAGCGTAAGAGTGAAAGCTTCAGGAAAATGACAAATGTACGGAGGACCAGGTTTTAATGAAAGCAAGAGAGTGAAGGTGATTCTTCAAAGAAATTGAATCTACAGTTTGTTTTGCTGATAGCTTTCAGGTATATAGAGGAAGGCTTTGAAAATTGAGGAAAATATTGTAAAATTGATCAAAAAAGGGGAAACAGAATGTGGGGAAGCGAGGTCAGGTGACGGCTAATGCCCTGAGAGAACAATGAAAATATTTTATAATGTTTTACCTGCTTCTCTTACTTCTGCTACTTATGCAGAGTATTAACGTTTTCCCGTTTATACATTTCTCGCAAATTATTTACCCATCATCATCATTATTGTTTTACTAGGTCAGTGACAGTTCATATTTACCATTAGTTTATAATTACTGTCTTTATTTGGCATCCCTGCTTAAAATTAACCCCTTCCTCTTAAATTTACATGCTAAAAGAGATTTCAAACAAATGGGAAGTGGTCCATTTTATCTAGTTTCTGAAAAAAAAAATTAAAAGTATGTTTTACTTTTCTGAAAAAAATTTAAAAGTGTGTTTTACTTTCATCTTAAAATTTAGAGTAACTAATCAAGGGTATGTTTTTCGTGTAAAAGCTTCAGAAATAAATAAGGAAATTTTGGGCAATGTCAATAGTAATATAGGGCATAATATAGGGGGAATATTTATTAGATATATTTCGTAGTTCAAAGAAGGTATTCTCGGCCGGGCGCGGTGACTCATGCCTGTAATCCCCACACTTTGGGAGGCAGAGGCGGGCGGATCACGAGGTCAGGAGATCGAGACCATCCTGGCTAACACAGTGAAACCCTGTCTCTACTTAAAATACAAAAAATTAGCCAGGCGTGGTGGCGGGCGCCTGCAGTCCCAGCTACTCGGGACGCTGAGGCAGGAGAGTGGCGTGAACCCGGGAGGCGGAGCTGGCAGTGAGCTGAGATCGCGCCACTGCACTCCAGCCTGGGTGACACAGCGAAACTCCGTCTCAAAAAAAAAAAAAAAGAAGGTATTGAGCTATGGACATGCATAGAGACTACGTTGTAATCAAGAACTAAAACACACAAATAATCTCAAATGAATTTTCCTGCAGGATGTGGAGACTTTCAGTAGAACATTTGCTGACAGGGTGTTGAAAACTACACCTGAATTTTTTCTTCAATATATCTTTACCTTCCTTTTCTAGGGTTGTTTGAATCACAACCCGTTAGTTGGTAGAAATCATTGCATTTGTTGTCTGGCAATTTTCCAAGTTGTTCTAGCTCTTTCTTCTCACAATTTCAGTATTCTCCTTACTCCTGTTCTGCATATTTTTCTTTAGGGTACTGAAATCTCTTCCTTTGGTCATCTAGGAAACTGGAATATCTTAGTCTATTGGAAATGTGTACTGACTACAAGCATTCAGTTTTAAACTAGAGAACAGATTGAATGACTTTATTCCTACTAGAAGATTTAGCCATTCCTTTAAAAATTTAACTCAAAGATTCCCTGAGATATCAATCAACGATATAAACAAGTTAAACGTGGACTGGGGCACAGCTGTAAAAGATGGTAGTTGCTGTTGTATAAATCTGAACCTTAGGGGACATTGACACTGAAAGTCATTAGTAGAAGAGTGCTATGAAAATATATGGAAATAAAGAAAACACCTCAAGAAGAGAGTAAAGCTAGAAAAGTGAAAAGGAGTAAAGGTTGCCGCCAGAAGCTCTTGCACGTTTAGGAAGTAGGCATTAGAACATTAACTATAGAAAGATTTTGGGGAGGGACAGTCAATCTATCAGGAGGAAAAATGGGCAGCTGAGGTCTCGAATAAGGCAAGAGAAAATAGTATTTCACAAAGGAGGCAGCGGCTAAGGGAGGCTTGGCCCGTTGGAATCAGCTGGTGGGAGTTTCTTCTGAGCTTGTCAAGGGCAGTTTCAGTGGTGTTTTGGGAGAAGAAAGCAGATCGAAAAGGCCTGTGGTGTGAACTAAAGGTGAAGTGATTAAGGTAAGCAACTGAGTAACTAAGGCAAGTAATTCCAGTTTGAGATATTGGACATCTCCACATCTTGCAGGAAAATCCATTTGAGATTATTTATGTATTGCAGCTCTACATGACAGTTGAGTCTCTATGCATGTCCATAGCTCAGTAAGGATCAAAATACTTTTTCCATTCATTTGATTATGTGAATCACCCGTTTATCGTCTCCATGAAATGGAGGAGACAAGTGAGGAATTGGCTGGGCAGGTGTCCAGAGCTAAAGGCACTGTCCTGGGTGCTTAGCTGTGGAGGATGCCTATGTGGAGGCTCACAGGCATGCAGTGACCCAGAAGGCAGAGTTAGTAAAGCAGAATAAAGAGGAGATACACAAAGCCATGGCATGTTTAAAAAGACAAAGCCGGTCCGGCGTGGTGGCTCCTGCCTGTAATTCCAGCACTTTGGGAGGCTTAGGTGGGAGGATTCCTTGAGCTCAGGAGTTCCAGGCAAGCCTTGACAGCACAGCAAGACCCTCTGTGTACAAAAAAAATATATATGTATAAAGTAGCCAGGCATGGTGGTGTGTGCCTGTAGTCCCAGCTACTTGGGATGCCGAGGTGGGAAGATCACTTGAGCCTGGAAGGTAGAGGCTGCAGTGATCGTGCCACTATATTCCAGCCTACGTGACAGAGAAAGAGACTGTCTGAAAAAAAAAAAAAAAAAAAAAAAAAGGCAAAGCCGTTGGCTCATTGCCTTCGTTTAAATAAAGCCAGAATAACCGGATTTTGTCTAAAACGGTCATAGACATACACAGTATCTATGTTATAGACATAGAAAAAGTTCTTACATCTCTAGTATCTCAGGCCTCCTAATTTCCCCATATTACAGATAACAGACTTTGATACCTGCTCCACCTCATGTTGGTAGAGCAGCCAGTATAGCTCAGAAGAGTAAAGACTCTTCTAAACAAGCACACAGTGACAGAAACAGCCCCCAAAGAATAAGAAGTTGGAGGAAATCAAAACGGGCTTGTTTAGCAATAACTGAAAACTGGACATCATGGGGCCACATCTTTCATCCCCAACTGGATGGAAACTTTCAAACTGGCTTCATGATATCTCACTCAGGAATAAAGCTCTCTTCAGGAAGATGCAGAATTCTCTATCCTGTGTTCCGAGGCCTCGTGGGTGCACAGGATGGTCATACGGTCGAGAACAAGGTGTGCCCAGAGTCCATTCAGAACACACACTGCGTGGGTTGTTGCTGCCTGCTGGCAGGTGAAGGACCCCCTGGGATGGCCACAGAAGATGATCTCTCATCTAGTCGCTGGGGTCCACTGGTGCTCATGCTACAGATTCTATCTACATCCCCTGCTCTTGGGCCCAATGCCCTCATCGCCCTTATTGATTCTGTGCACCTCCCTTCGCTCTGCATGATTTTTTTCTTCTTTCTTTCTTCAATTTATGCTATTGATATAGTCTATGAGGACACAAAGTATTTTTTTTCTCTGTAAATGTTCATTTGGATCTTTCTGTCTCTTATCTTTTCAGGAACATTTGCTTCTGAGAGTAACTGACCTCTTGGGGGAGGAGGGTGGTGGTGTTAGTTGATACAGGTAGCAAGAAATTGACACAAATTTGTGAGCAGAAGAAATAGTGATACTTATAAGTCAAGATGCAAAAACAGTATCTGGCCACAAAGCAAAGAGGCAATGCACTCATAGACTGGTAGGTCCGAGGAATCTTTTTGCATCCAGCTTTCCATGCATTCATTCACGCTCTACACATCTCCAATTTGACATACAAATGTTTGTTGCAACTATATCCACTCATAGGAGAGAGGCACAGAGCTTGCTGCCCTTAGTAGTTTTTAGTATTAGAAAGAAAACAATGTCACTTTTCTATTTAGCCTCCTACTAGATATGTGACCCTGAGAAAGTAGTTTAATTGCAGTCTCTTTATTTCTTTTAGGAGGTTAAACTTTCTCAATTCCCAAAGTCCTGGGTAAATTTAATAAGGAACATCTTTATGCCCTCCTCAAAATAACTAAGGAAAATCTTACCAACAGTTACAAATTGTTATGTTTTGTTCTGTTTTCATTTTTGTTTTTTCTTGGAGAAAAATCTTATCTGAAATGGAATCCTTCCGTGGAAAGTGAATTTGAAGAAAATGTGTGCCACTTATTTATGTAACAAAAATAATTGTATCAATTAGATAATTTCCGATTGGAGGGCTCCTTTGATATTTACAGTAGCTTAGTGCTACCACTACAAATACTTCACTTACACTCATGGGGTGCTTAGCTTATATGAAGTGCTTACCTAAATGTCTTACATTTGTAACATACTAGATTCTTACAATATCCCTGTCATATACGTCCTAATGCTGTCACTATTTCACAGATGTGGAAACTTAGGCCCGCAGAGAATAAACAATTTCACGTGAGTTTGAAATGGCTTATAAATAAGTAAATAA
This sequence comes from Homo sapiens, assembly GCF_000001405.40. NCBI lineage: Eukaryota > Metazoa > Chordata > Mammalia > Primates > Hominidae > Homo > Homo sapiens. The sequence goes on from NC_000008.11 coordinate 5,422,371, forward strand.
ATAAATGCATACATACATGCATACATACATACATAATAAAATCTTATCAAAGAGAAAGATACAAGAGTAAATGCTTTATCAAAAGGCTGCCACTAAGAGACAGGGCATCTCATTCTATGCTCAAGTTACCTATGAATCAATTACATGTAATTTACTAGACAGCGTTTTTATCCTATATATCTCAGCTTTCTATGGTATAATAAGCTTTCTATGATATAATAAGTATTTTGAAGCCGTTGCAAAGATCAAGTGAGATTCTGAAAAAGAAATAATAACGGTCTTCCTTCTATCTAAAAATATCCTCTTTCTGCAAATTATTAGTATCCTCAGTCTTATATATTTTCCACACACATTGAAGCAACTGAATTTCATCTATAGCCCGCACTAATGTACACGTTTCAAAGTAAAGCTATTAATTTCTTCTGCTACTGTTGTATCGCTATATTATTTATTGTATAAAACCAACTAGTTGTCATTGGGAATATAAAATGTTTAAAATCTAGAGACTATAGAGGAGAGAAATATTCATTCATATATTAAACTACTTGAAATGAGAGGAGTATTATAGGTCAATTATTAAAATGTTCATTATATGGAGCCAGTGAAGGCAGTAGGTAAGGAATCTATAATTTGATAAAGATAAACCAGGCACCGGTAATAAAATCTACAGAAGATAAAAAGAAAACATGAAAGCCAACTAAATAGTGAAGAAAATGACAAATGGGAGAGATGTAACGCTGCAATTACTAGCTTGATTTTTATTCGATTGTGACTAGATTTTCTGGTAAATAAATCTAACGATAACTTAAATAAGCTTATGGAAACTATTCATTGAAATTGGTATTTTAGACTTTAAAAAATAGTTAACAGAAATAGCAATCTGTGGCATGATTAATCAAACATGTACACACTCTTTATGCTAAGAGAATGGAGCACTTGTGACCATGATTTATAAGGCACGCCAGTTTCCTAGATGTTCTGTGAGTATTTATTACTATTGATACGTTTAAGATGATGGTTTTTTTGTTTTTGTTTTTAGGACAGGGTCTTACTCTGTCACCCAGACTGGAGTGCAGTCATGAGACCACAGCTCATGCAGCGTTCACCTGCTGGGCTCAAGTGATCCTCCCACCTCAGCTCCCTAAGCACAGGCACACACCACGAAGCCCAGCTAATTTTTATTTATTTATTTATTTATTTTTGAGACAGAGTCTCGCTCTGTCGCCCAAGCTGGCATGCAGTGGCGCGATCTCGGCTCACTGCAAGCTTGGCCTCCCGGGTTCACGCCATTCTCCTGCCTCAGCCTCCCGAGTAGCTGGGACTACAGGCACCCGCCACCATGCCTGGCTAATTTTTTGTATTTTTAGTACAGACGGGGTTTCACCGTGTTAGCCACGATGGTCTCGATTGCCTGACCTCATGATCTGCCCACCTCAGCCTCCCAAAGTGCTGGGATTACAGGCATGACCTAATTGTAGCTAATTTTAGTAGCCCAGCTAATTTTTATATTTTTTGAACAGATTGGGGTTTTGCCATAGTGCCCAGGCTGTTCTGGGACTCCTGGGCTCAAGCAATTCAGCAACCTTGGCCTCCCAGAGAGTTGGGATTACACGTGTGAACCAAAGCACCTGGCAAGCTCATGTATAAGGATACCTTTACTCAATGGATTCTGCTCAAAAGATACATCTTTTATCATTCCTAAGATGAAAGAGCTGTAAATGGATTCAAGAAATCACAATTATAATCTTTTAAAGAGTTTTTTATTTTTCTTTTCCTATTAGGATTTATAGAATCTTCGAATTCCAAAGATTATTAAATATAAATCACACAGATAAGAATAGGAGACACTGAAAATTATTAATATTTATAAACAGTGTGTATTTTATAGCTCTTATTACATAGACATAAGAATGTAGTCATAATAGGTTCATTACAGATGTTTATTGACTAGGAGGCCATTGGAAAAATACATACTGAATCCCAATTATATGGTGTGAAATCTGTGAGATTTTGTTCATACTAATGAATCTGTCTATTCCTCATCACCTCAGCACATCGCTTCATAGACATGGTGTATGTGTTCTCCAAACCCAGAGGGTCTAGCAAAGAATATTCTCCTTTCTCCAAGGCCAGGTACTGCAGGAACATATGAAGTATGGAAAGCTTCCAGCTTCCCAATGAGAAACAAGTGGAATGTGAAAGAATCCTAATTATTTTATATAAAATATCATGATTTTACAATGTTTTATAATGGCTACTTTATTGTTAGTAATGAATCAACGATATACTGTTTCCAAGGCTTTATTAGCATACAAATTCTGTTGGCATAGCAATATTGGTAGCAGAGTAAAAATTCCAGGAAGCTTGCAGTGGAGACATGCTTGTGGACCAAGTTAATGGAGACGTTCTTCATGGATAAGAAGTTTGGGCAGGGCCTTGATGATTGATAAGTGAGGGGGTCCCCTTGAGGAAAGAATGAAAGCTGTGGGTCTACCAAGGGTAAAGTCAGAAAGGAGGGTCACAGGCATTGCTGTGACCACACCGGGCTGCCCTTGACACTTGGTGCACTGAAAGTTTTGTTTTGTTTTTAAAAATCAATTCTAGGGAGAACAGAACTGCTATAAAAAGACTTGGATTGCTTACACTCCTTAATTATTTCATTTGACCATTTGAGTTTCCTTGGGTCTTTTGTCTCCATGCATTGGTTCTTCCTGCAAGACAGGCTTGAGAGATGGCTGTTACGCAGATGTGCCCTCTGCTATTCCAGGCAAGAATACTTCGGGTTGGAAGTGACCACTGGGAAGCTTTAGTAATGCTGGACTCAATTATTTCAAATAGCCTTTTACTCTCAGTGTGAAGAAATGCATCCAACACATCTTCAATATATAGTATTACTCTTCAGTTTCAATCTGAGTTTTGATAAAAATGTCAGTTTGGATTATCCAAGCTCCTACTTCAAAATTTGAGCACACACCGTGGTTAGCCCAGGGCCTTAGGTGTAGCTGGGTTTCAGGAAATGTTTGTTGATTGCCATAATGAATAATTAAGAGGTGAGAATAACTCAAGTTCACCTATCTCAATAAGTTCTCATAATCCACTACCCCCTATCTGCTGTCCCAGGACATCTTTCTCCCTTTAATTCCTAGCATTTATCAATAGAGTCATAGAGTGTGCCCCACATCATCAACATATTTATTCCCTTAATCTCGTGCTAAAACTTGATTTTTCATATTTTCTGCTAAATTGTACACTTTTGGCACTCCCCAAATGAAGATTCTGTTTCTTGATTCCATTTCCTCTACTGCCCCTGCAGGCAGTGGATTGGACTCTATTCATGACTTTCATATTGAGGGCTGTGAATGAGTCATTTTAGCTACCTCTATTAATCATCATTGTTCTTCCCTCATCCCTGTTTTCCCAAGTCCCCACCCGCCCTATAGTCTAATGAGGTGGCTTTGAGGATCAACTTTCGTCATACATGAAAGTGTTTTGTGAAAATTATAGCCACATTAAGATAATAAGACATAATTTATGTTGCAACTCTAAATATAAAATGATTTACCAATACACATTATTATTGCTGACACAAGTGGAATTGGTCTTTAACCAATTACAAAACAATCTTCCTGGGGTAGGTTATCGATTGAAGATGGCTTCATGGTGGAGGAAGCACGTGGAAATGAGTGTGGATTTGGTTGCGAAAGACAGAAGGGTACTTCACACCCAGAGAATGACATGAATGAGTGTGGCAGACATGGCATTGAACAGCTAATATGCAAAGATGGCCCAGAGTTGGAAAGATGATGCTCTGTTTACGGAAAGATTTGTGTGGGAGATAAGCAGTTTGGAATTCTTGTGTAGGCAACCAGGAGCCATGGGGATGTTTGAAAGATAAATGTGACGATAAAACCTGTGTTTAAACAAAATAATTGTCAGAAATACATAGAAGGCCTTTGAATGGGGAAAAAAGGGACACAGGAAAATATGTAGGAAGAAATTACTGCAGTGTGAAATTTCCAGCTGTAGAGGAAGAAAAAGCAGCAGAGGGCATAGCACTGTGACCACATCTGGCTGCCTCAACACTTGGTCCACATACATCTTTGTTTTGTTTTAAAAATCAGTTGTCATTATTTCAATATTAGGATATTTTACTTAAAACTTGCATTTCCAGATTCCTTAATTAATAACAACAACAACAAAAATTTAAAGGTGGTGACGGAGGATGCAGGGTGTGTGAATGAAGTCTCATTTCCTCATGAGAATAACCAGGTGTGTACGTGATTTCCAGTTTTCCCAAGTCTCCACCCTGCCCTATGTTCTCTGAGCCCTGCAGCTATGTGTCAGTCAGCCTTCCCTAGATCTCTTCTGCTGTTCCCAGCCCACTAAAGCATATCTATCTCACCATAAGCATTTATATTACAATGTATTGCTTAAAAGCCCTTTGATTATTGTCATAGAATTGGAAACACTGAGTTACCTATGAGTTATGAGAAAGCGGGAGAGAGAAGTGATGATTCTGGTATCTTGATGAATGTGAAGAATATGGTGCCATTAACTCATGATACATAACAATGCTGGCAGGCAGATTTAGGAGAAAAACCCTGAACTGGGCTTAGATGGTGTATTGTGGTGGAAGCGGACATAAACACATCCTTATTCACATGGCAGCAGGGAGAAGAAGAATGAGCAAAGGAGTGGGGAAGAGCCCAGTATAAAACCATCTGCTCCCTTCAGAACTCACTCACTATCATGAGAACAGCATGGCGGTAACTGCCCCTATGATTCAATCACCACCCACCAGGTCCCTCCCTCAACATGTGGGGATTATGGGAACTACAGTTCAAGATGAGATTTGGGTGGGGACACAGCCAAACCATATCAGTGTGTGAATCCATACAGACATGTATCTTTTGAAAAATTGGAGATTCTGCCTTGAAACTCAGAAAAGCCCTCAGTCAATGATTATTAAGTTTTCGGAATGATGAGTTGATCCTGAGAGCCCATAAAGCAAGGAAAGAAGAGGTCTGAGGATAGAGCATAAAGTGATCCATGGGAGAAATAGATGTGCACAGAGCATATTTACAAGAGACTCCTTAGGAAAATCAATTACTTGATCATCAAATCTAATGCACACGAGATATCTTACTTTGTTAGGGTTAATATTCTCTTCTTCTATTCTTATGTAAATGATATTAACTACGAATTTAGCACTTGTGTTCACGGAGGGGAAAATCATTTTATTTAATTATTTTTTCGTGTCTTTCACATTTTAAGGAGGAATCAGTTTGCTTTGAATAGAGTTTCAATTATTTGGCTTTAAGAGAAACGTACAGAATATTGCTAGCCTTGAAAATATTTCCCAGTACACTGTATTTGTATTTTCCCAGGTTCCTTTGTAGGTGCTGTCTCACTGTAGACGAGGCAAGAGCAGAAGCAAACTAGCTGTAGAAAAAACAGTTAAGGGAGGGAATCTTAGGGGCAGTGCTTCCCTAAGTGGGGTAGAAAAGAAATAATTAACTTAGGGATAAACAGGTTTAAAGAAGACTCTGATACCATCTTTCAAAAGCTCTTTTCTGAATTATACAAAAATGTAAACATAAATTTATATTAAAATATCATAAATCATTTGAAAAAGGTAGAAGAGATTTTGAGGTTTGGGGAGCCCTATAATCCTTACCGTTGTTCAGTAACTATTGCTGTCCATTTTGAGTAGTATTCTTTCCTGTCTTTGGCCAAATTTAGTGCTTTTCACACGGCCTGAAGGATATGACATCTTCATTGTCCCGAGAAACTTGGGACAAGATAGCTTCGTATGTGACTGACCCCCCGCCTTTTTTTTTTTCTTCAAAAATTCACATCTCATGTATGCCCCAAACTATAAAAGCCTGAGAAGGATGTGCCCTTCTTTTGTCCTCCTTGATTTTAATTCTCCTATTTTTTTTTTTTCCCAAAGGGAGAAAAGAGTTATCTGAAAAAGCATTTGGCTTAATTCAAAAAATCTTGGGACCTAGAGAGACAGATTTTCTAATAATCTGTATAAAATTGGGGGAGTTATTTAAATTAGACAGGGTTTCCTTTACACACATTTTAACTAAGGAGGCAAATAAAGCCTACTTTGCCTTCTTCAAAGAGTGTTGTGAAGGTGCACTGACACACTACACTTTAAAAATTATTGAACATTAAAATGATATTTGATTTCCATAAGCAGAACTTGCTGGAGGCTTTCTCACCCAATGAGTGACTTTTTTTTTTTTTGCCATTTATGGCCTAGGGACGTTTTAATTCCCTGCTAGAAAATAACATCACTACTATCAAACCTACTCAAATCTAAAAAGATGGAGGCGCTTGCTTTATAAATCTTTCCAAGGTTCACAACATGAAATAATTTAGGTGAGACTAAACCACATCTTTTTTGTTCTAATATCTTGTTAAAACAACTGTCAGAAATGATACATACTTTTATAGAGTGTTTTGAATAAACAGTCTCAACTAGATAATGCAATTACAATGCTCAACATATGAATTTGTTTATGAATTTTGCTATTTATGGGGACAAAAATTTCATTCTCTAGTTACTTCAATAAGAAGAAATGCTGTCTGTGTAAACTTAGAGTTGCTAGTAAGACACTGTGCAGATAAAAATGGTTTATAAATGTTTAATGCCAACTGCAGAATGTTTTATACCTCATTAACCTTTAGCATGTTTACTTGCGGCATTCTTTAATTCAAGATTCACTTATTTTAATATGAAAAACAAGCTACTCTAATTTTTTCACATAGATATTGTATTCCTCTTTGAGAAATAGTTATTATCTAAATGCAAAGTTAAGGCAATTATTTTAGTGTTTTATATTTAGCTTTTTATTTATGGTCATATGTAGCTGGGACTATAGGCTTTAGCTGATATGTAGTTCATTGAGAAACATAGTTTTGAACTTAGATATTAATCGTAAAATCTTAAGATAAATTAAGTTCCAAGATATTTGGAGACATAGACACTACAGTTAATTTTATGCATATATAATTTAGTATTTATTAACTTATTTATTCATATGAATATACATAAATACTTATATAGTATGTACACATATGTATTTGCTTATATAAAGATATATCTCCAAAGTATTAGCATAAACATTAGCATAATAAAGGAAAATTCAATGAGAATAGCTGTACAAATAGTATGTTTACTACCAGTACAATTTGTCCCAGGTAATACACATTATGTATGGTCATTTTTACAGTTATAGAGAGGCACTTTTATGCCTACAAAATGTTTCAGGTAAAATTTCTAAGTTATTCACCACAAGATAAAACATTAAACCTTCCAAAAAAGATTTCCCAAAGAATATAATTACTACAGTAAAAAAAAGATTACTGAATACAATTGTCCCTTGGTATTTGTGGGGAATTTGTTCCAGAAGGCCCACTGGTTCAGAAACCACAAACTATGAAATCTCAAGTCCCACAGTTGGCCCTGCAGAATCAATGGATATGAAAAGTTGGCCCTGCATATCTTCACACTTCGTATCCCACAAATACTGTATTTTTTATCCATAATCGGTCATGGATGTGGAAACCACAGATAAAAAGTGCCAAATGTATTCATTGAGAAACATCCATGTATATGTGGACTTGTACATTTTATTCATGTTGTTCAAGGATCACCTGTACATTATTGCTAAAGGTATCTAGAGATAGGATAACAGCAAGATAATGGAATAGGGAGTTCTAGAAATTGTTCTGTTACAGAAACCCTGACCTAACAACAATATACACTCAAAAAAACATCTATGAGAACTCCAGAAAGCTGTTAGGAAGTTGTAATGCCACAGGCACCTCAAATCCAACAACTGCTGCATTCAAATGGGAAAAGGAAAACCAATTTCATCTTAACTACATTAGTCTCTTCACCAAGTAGTGATAGCTTGTGATTAAAAAAATAGGGCTAAACTTGCAGCTTCTGCCTTGGACAGGAAAGAGAAGAGTGGAATGTACATATAATAATCCAAATTTGGGGAAGGCTGCCTGAGGGATGAGTTTCTGTCTTGTCTGACTTAAAATGCTGAGATACCTGCATACTTTGCATGGCTGAGGACCACTGAAGACATACAAGAGCTCAGAGCTTATTGTCTTCTCGCACTGAGAGAGAATGTGCAGTACTATGTAAAGAATCAGAGGGAACCAAAAGCTGAAAGCTCTCATGGAGACTGGTTGACCTCCTTGAAAAGTTCAATCACACACAAAAAGACGTAAGGGATACAATCAAGCAAACCAATACACACATGATAGTAGTTCCAGAAGGAGAAAAGAAGTAAAATGGAGCTAAGAGTTTATTCGAAAAACATAATGGCAAAAAACAAAGAAACAAGACTACATGTTCCAATAAAAAAAAAATCCAGAAACTTATCATGAAGAAATAGAGATATATGAATTACCTGACAAAAGATTCAAAGTAATTGTCATAATGAAGCTCAACACACTACTAAAGAACACAGGTAGACAACTAAATAAAATCGGCAAAACAATACATTAAAAAATTAGAATATCATTAAAGCTATGGAAACTATAGAAAATAACTGAACTTAAATTCTGGAGCTAAAGAATACAATAACTAAATTGAAAAATAAATAAAGGAAATCAACAGAAGACTTGATGGTGCAGAAGAAAAATCAGCAAACTCAGAGCTGAATTGAAATTATTGAGTCAGAGAAACTTAATGTTTCTGGCAAAAGTACTCTTTGAAAATAAAAAAGAAGTAAAGACATTCCTGGATAAACAAAAGCCAAAGGCGTTCCACATTACTATGGCTTCTTTAAAAGAATTGCTGTAGGTAATCATTCATATTAAAACAAAAACACACCAGATGGCAACATGAAAGCATATAAAAGTATAAAACTCACTAGTAAAGGAAAACATATACACAAATACAGCATACTGTAATACTGTAACAGTAGTGTGCAAACACTTTTAATTCTGGTATAGAATTTAAAAGATAAAAGCATAAAATTAACTATAAAACTATGTTAGTGAGTAATAATTTTAAAAGATGTAAATTGTAATACTGATAAAGTAGAGTAAAGATAAGAGTGGAGCCTGTGTGCTTTCTATATGTTAGAATTGATTGTTACAGGCCAGGCGCGGTGGCTCACGCATATAATCCCAGCACTTTGGGAGACTGACTCAAGTGGATCACCTGAGGTTGGGAGTTTGAGACGAGCCTGCCAATATGGTGAAACTCTGTCTCTACTAAAAATACAAAAATTAGGTGAGTGTGGTGGCAGGCGCCTGTGATCCCAGCTACCCGGGAAGCTGAGACAGGACAATTGCTTGAACCCAGGCAGCAGAGGTTGCAGTGAGCTAAAATAGTGCCACTGCACTCCAGCATGGGTGATGGAGCGAGACTCTGTCTAAAAAAAAAAGGATTGTTATAATTGATGTTATAATTTATGTAATCTCAATGTAAACAACACACAAAAAAATCTACAGAAGATGCACAAATAACACGCAAAAAGAATCAAACCATGCCAAAACAAAACCTAAAAGACACACAAATGAAGGCAGCAAGACAGGAAAACAGGCATAAAATAACACAAAATATATGAAAACAACTAACAAAATGGAAATATTAAGTCTTTACCTATCAGTAATCACTTTCAATGTAAATGGATTAAATTCCCAAATAAAAAGACTTAGAGTTACTGAATAGATTTTGAAAAACACAATTTTACAATTATATGCTCTCTACAAAGGACTCATTTTAGATAAAGACATACACAGGCTGAAAGTGAAAGGATAGAAAATATATCCTGTGCAAATGGTAACTAAAAGAGAGTAGTCATGGCCAGGCATATTTCAGACAGTAAAGACTTTAAATCAAAAACTGTGACAGGAGACAAAGAGGGATGTTATATGACAATATAAGGATCAGTTGACCAGAAAGATGTAATAATTGTGAATCTATTTGCACCTGACAACAAAGCCGCCATATATGTAAGTCATACATTGACAGAACTCAAAGTAGAATGTAATACATTAATGGTAAGAAATTTCAGTGCCTCACTTTGAATATGAATAGACCAACCAGACAGAAGAACAATAAGGAAACAAAAGATTAAACAATGCTATCGACCAACTGCACCCAACAGACACACATACACAGAATACTTCACCCAAAAAAGGCAGAATATGGATCCTTTTCAAGTGCACTTGGAACATTCTCTAGAAGAGATCATATGTTAGGCCACAAAACAAGTTTTAATAAATTTGTGAAAATCAAAATCATACCAAGCATTGTTTATGACAAAAATGAAATGAAACTAGAAACGAATACCAAAAGAAAAACCGGAAATTCACAAAATGAAAATGAAACAATGTACATTTGAACAAATAATCATTCAAAGAACAAATTATAGGGGAAATAAAAAAATATGACAAATGAAAATGATAGGACAACATACCAAAACGTATGAAATGCAGGCACTAAAAAGAAAATTTTCGGTAATAAACACCTAAAACAAAATAGAAAAAAAGACCTGAAGTAAGCAACCTAATTTTATGCCTCAAAAAACTAGAAAAATGACAAGTTAAAGCCAAAGTTAGCAGAAAAAGGAACTAAGTTTTAGAGTAGAAATAAATGAAGAAGAGAATAGATAAACAGAATAAATCAACAAAACTAACAGTTGGTATTTTGAAAACACCAACATAATTGACAAACATTTAGCCAGACTAAGGATAAAGATAATTACATTAACATTGCTAAACACAGCCAGTACAAATCTATCTACCTATCTGCCTATCTATCTATCCTTCTATCTATTTACATTTTATATATCAAATTATACAGCCAAAAACATAGGTATCACTGACTGTAGATTCCAGTAGATCCCATACATGTCTACATGTCAGAATCCCAGAGGAAGCTCATTCTAAATATAGAATCCTGAATATCTTGTATCTGACATTTTGATTCAATAGATATAGAGTTGTTCCTGAAAATCTGTATTTTTTAAAGCTCTTTCATTTTTTTTGACGCAAAGCTGAGTAGGGAAACTACTGGGTTAAACTACTGACATGTGATAAAATAAAATAAAAATGTCCACCTACTATAGCAGCTTCTATTTTTGTGAAACACCACTAGTTCTTCCTTTACCTGGGAGCAAACACCCTGTGAGCTCAGGACTATCTTCAGGAGGTAAACATGTATTAGCTATGTTGTTGTTCTTCAAGATGCTTATCATCTAACTGTAAAAACATCCCAAGAATAACGCTTTCACATGTCTTTCCCACTCTCCTTCTCATTCCTTTCTACACAAGAAACATCCGTTCCTGCTGCAATGCACAGCCTCAATATCACCTCCTTGAGGACATGTTCCTTCACATTCCAGGGGAGGTAGGTCTGTCCTAACTCTAAATAAACAACAGAAGACTGGAGGTCCTCCAGGCCTGGGGATTACCAAGAGGTTGAAAGCAATCTGTACTAGATACCAACTCCAGCTGTCTCACCTTGAAGGGGGCTTAGTCTGAAGATGCATGTGATTCACGTGACTTCTGGGAAGCTGCAGGAGCAGCATTGAGAAGGCTAAGAAATTAAGGGTGCTCTTGAATCAGCAGTAGCTGTCTGTCTGGAGTAGGGTTGGCCCCGAGTTTCTCCTGAGGCCTGAGGCCACTGTCTCCTCTGAACACAAGCAGCTCACCCCCAACCCTCCCTCTATGGCAAATGAGTCTGACTAGCACCTGGAGACTCTATTCTTGCTCTGAATATGAATGAAAGCTTTTACCTTTTCAGAATCTTCAGTGAGTGATCAGAGTAGCATTTCCATAGGTGGTATATGATTCCTACAACATCCAGAGGAGCCACCAGCATGGTTAACCTCTTTCATGCTGATAACAAAACAAGGTTCAGCAAAATTGTTCTTCTTTTGTCCAATATGCATGAGATTACCACACAGTCACAAAGGTTACTAGAGTGGTAAGTCTCTATTTTATAAAATGATTTCATAACTTTTTTTTTTTTTTTTTTTTGAGATGGAGTCTCACTCTATCACCCAGGCTGGAGGGCAATGGTGCAATCTCAGCTCACTGCAACCTCCGCCTCCCGGGTTCAAGTGATTCTCCTGCCTCAGCCTCCCAAGTAGCTGGGATTAGAGGCACATGCCACGGCATCTGGCTATTTTTTGTATTTTTAGTAGAGGCGGGGTTTCGCCATGTTAGCCAGGCTGGTTTTGAACTCCTGACGTCAGGTGATCGGCCGGCCTCGGCCTCCCAAAGTGCTGGGATTACAGGGGTGAACCACTGTGCCTGGCCTGATTTCATAACTTTGCGCACCCTCTAATTCCTTCATCTCAGGCCTTGAATTCTTTTACATTTACTCTTCTTTTCTTAGTACTTCAAGTACATAAGAACAAATATTTTTCTCTTGGTGCTACTGTTGCTCTGTCCCTTCGGTTCTGAAATATAGTTTCTCCTTTGTGTATTATTCTATATATCCAATAACATTCCAGATAGATTTTCCATTATACCCAAGTGCTATGTCAGGAAAACATTTCCCAGGAAAGAGCACCATTTAATTTTATGATCATTTTAATACTTCAGCATATTGAATTGTAATGAAAGAATCCATCCATGTCTCTTGCTACCTTGAGAATATATTGCTTACTTTGCAGTTTGATGTACAGTTAGTTTGTCTTAAAAGGTAATTAGAACTTTGAAAGATGGTGTCTTTTCTGATCTTGGAGTGCTCATGTATAAAAATATAATTAATAGGGTACTAATTTACCAGATTACTTCTATTCTTTAGTGGTTTTTGTTTTTGTTTTTGTTTTCCTGCCTGAGGGCTATAATAAACTTAGTCAGTACTTGAGCTGGCAAACGATTTCTCTGCAGGACCAGAGAGTAAATATGTACAGTTTTGTGGGCCATGCAGCCGCCACTGCAACTGTTCAACTCAGTCTGTGGATTGAAAAAGACCATCTAGAAAAAACCCACAGTGGGATTCCAACAGGGCTTTTTTTTTCTTTTCTCTTTTCTTTTTTTTTTTTTTTTTCCCCAAAATGAGGCAGTGAGACAGGTACCAGTAGTTTGTGGATCCCTATTATAAACAAATGCTTTTTACATATATTTATTATTATTATTATTATTATTATTATTATTATTACTATTAGTATTATTTTCAGATGGAGTCTTGCTGTGTCATCCAGGCTGGAATGCCACAATGTGATCTCAGCTCTGCAACCTCCCTCTCCCAGGTTCAAACAGTTCTCCTGCCTCAGTCTCCCAAGTAGCTGGGATTACAGGTGCATGCATCACCACGCCCAGCTAATTTTTGTATTTTTAGTAGAGATGGGGTTTTACCATGTTGGCCAGGCTGGTCTTGAACTCCTGACTTCAAGTGATCCGCCCACCTTGGCCTCCCAAAGTGCTGGGATTACAGGCATGAGACATCGCGCCCGGCCATATTTATTCTTATAGTTCCTTTGTTTTTGCCTTATGACAATTAATTCTATGCTGTTTGGTACTTAGCTGTCTAACAATGTGAAAATTTTATTGCAATGTGGATTGTTGACTTTTTCACTAAGTGCAGTTCCTAGCCCTGTTTAGTGTTCTTTCTCCTGAATTCAACCTTTAATCATATTAAAATTGTGGTTCTGTTTTTCGTTTGTATTTGGTGGGTCTGCATTTTTCTTGTTTATTTTCAACACTCATAAATCACTTTTCAGAAACATCTCCTTTATTAAGTGGATGGATGAATATTAGTTAGGGATTCATCAAGTAAATAGACGCATTTTATGAACTCTTTTTTTCCAGATTGGACGCATATCGTTGGTGTTAACTTCGTGATACTTTCCTGAGTTTACTGTTTTCACATTTCTTTTAGAATTTTTCATTGTATGATTCATGTTATTTTCAGTTTTACTATTAGTTTTAGTTTCTGTTTCTTTGTTCTAATTACAGAACATTTATTTTGTTATAATTATTTCTATAGTGATAATTTTCTGTCATATTAATTCTTTATTTTCCCACACGATATCTATGGATTCATGTTGTGAGTAGTGGGGACATTCATTTATTTCTATGTTTTTCCCTCTGCCTTCTTTCACGCGCGTTGGTGTAAAGAGACCACTAAACAGGCTTTGTGTGAGCAACAAGGCTGTTTATTTCACCTGGGTGAAGGCGGGCTGAGTCCGAAAAGAGAGTCAGCAAAGGGAGATAGAGGTGGGGCTGTTTTATACGATGTGGGTAAGTAAAGGAAAAAGAGGGATTGTTCTCTGGCAGGCAGGAATGCGGGGGTCATGAGGTGCTCAGCAGGGGAGCTTTTGAGCCAGGATGGGCCAGGAGAAGAAATTTCACAAGATAACGTCATCAGTTAAGGCAGGAACAGGCCATTTTCACTTCTTTTGTGGTGGAATGTCATCAGTTAAGGCAGGAACTGGCCATCTGGATGTGTACGTGCAGGTCACAGGGGATATGATGGCTTAGCTTGGACTCAGAGGCCTGACATTCCTGTCTTCTTATATTAATAAGAAAAATAAAATGAAATAGTGGTAAAGTGTTGGGACGGCGAAAATTTTTGGGGGTGGTATGGAGAGATAATGGGTGATGTTTCTCAGGGCTGCTTCGAGCAGGATTAGGGGTGGCGTGGGAACCTAGAGTGGGAAGGATTAAGCTGAAGGAAGATTTTGTGGTAAGGGGTGATATTGTGGAGTTTTTAGAAGAAACATTTGTCATGTAGAATTATTAGTGGTGGCCTGGATATATTTTTGTATGAATTGAAAAACTAAATGGAATAAAAGAAGGAGAAAAACAGGTATTAAAGGTCTAAGAATTGGGAGGACCAGGACATCTAATTAGAGAGTGCCTAAGGAGGTTCAGCATAGTCTTGCCAGCAGAGGTTTATTTACTTTAAGAGTTAAGAGTGGAGGTTTGGGGATAGCACCAGGAGATATCAGCTGTGATGGCTTGGAGAAACAGTGTAAACTGGCAGTGTAATCAAGAGCAGGGCATGTGTGAGTAGTTGAGAATGGTGACTAGGAGTATGACTAGAGAGAAGATAGTAGGGATGACAAGTTTTCTGGGGCATAGTCGAAGTTGGTCTGGTGTCTGGAATGAGACTGGGGCCTAATAAAAAGGAGCGTCCATACAGGAGCTTAAATGGGCTGTACCCTGTAACGTTCTGAGGACAGGCCTGAATTCTGAGAAGGGAAATTGGTAAAAGTATTGTCCAGTCCTTTTTAAGTTGGTGGCTGAGCTTGGTGAGGTGTGTTTTTAAAAGACCTTTAGTCCGTTCTACCTTTCCTGAAGACTGAGTACCGTAAGGGATATAAAGGTTTCACTGGATACTAAGAGCCTGAAAAACTGCTTGGCTGACTTGACTAATAAAGGCCGGTCTGTTATCAGACTGTATAGAGGTGGGAAGGCTAAACAGAGGAATTATATCTGACAGAAGGGAAGAAATGACTGTGGTGGCCTTCTCCGACCTTGTAGGAAAGGCTTTTGCTTATCCAGTGAAAGTGTCTACTTAGACTAAGAGGTATTTTTGTTTTCTGACTTGGGGCATGTTGAGTAAAGCTAATTTGCCAGTCCTGGGTGGGGGCAAATCTCCGAGCTTGATGTGTAAGGAAGGGAGGGGGCCTGAAGAATCCCTGAGGAGTAGTAGAATAGCAGATGGAACACTGAGAAGTTATCTCCTTGAGGATAGATTTCCACGATGGGAAGGAAATGAGAGGTTCTAAGAGGCGGGCTAGTGGCTTATATTATAGCATAGCCTGCCTTTGCTGGTGTGTGGCGATTAGGCCTGGTGGAACTGCCATCAATAAACCAAGTGTGTTCAGAGTGAGGAACAGGGAAGAAGGAAATACGGGGAAATGGGATGAATGCCAGGTGGATCAGAGAGATACAGTCATGGGGGTCAGGTGTGGTATCAGGAATAACATGGGAGCCCGGATTGAAGTCTGGGCCAGGAACAATGGTAACTGTGGGAGACTTAACAAAGAGTGAGTACAGCTGAAGGAGCCGGGGGACCAGAAAGTATATGTGTCAGGTGTGAGGAAGAAAATAGATTTTGGAAGTTAGAACTGTAGAGAGTGAGTTGAGCATAGTTTGTGATTTTAAGGGCCTCTAAAGTATTAGGACAGCAGCAGCTGCTGCACGGAGACATGATGGCTGGCCTAAAACAGTAAGGTCAAGTTGTATGGACAAAAAGGCTACAGGACACAATCCCGGTCCTTGTGTAAGAATTCCCACTGCACAACCTGCACTTTGGCTGTGGGTAATGAAAAAGGTTGGGATGAGTCAGAGAGAGCTAGGTTGGGGGCAGTTTCTAAATCTGTCTTCAAGGAATGGAAACAGAAGTGGGGAAAGGATTTAGGGTCTATGGGGTCAGCTAGGTTTCTTTTTGTGAGTTTAAATAACGGTTTTGTTAGGATGGCAAAACCAGGTATCTAAAGTCGAAAGTATCTAACCATGCCTAGGAAAGAAAGGAGTTGTTGTTTTGTAGAAGGTGTTGCGGTTTGAGAGATCAGCTGGACATCATCAGCAGGGAGAGCAAGTGTGTTTTTGTGAGAATTACGTCAAGATAGGTAACAGATGAGGAAGAAATTTGGGCTTGACTGAAGTAATGGGGGCTGTCTGTGAAGCTTTGCAGCAGTACAGCCCAGGTAATTTGCTGAGCCTGATGGGTGTCAGGGTCAGTCCAAGTGAAAGCGAAGAGAGGCTGGGATGAAGGGTGCAAAGGAATAGTAAAGAAAGCATGTTTGAGATCTGGAACAGAGTAATGGGTTGTGGAGGGAGGTATTGAGGTTAGGAGACTATATGGGTTTGGCACCACGGGGTGGATAGGCAAAACAATCTGGTTGATAAGGCGCAGATCCTGAACTAACCTGTAAGACTTGTCTGGTTCTAGGACAGGTAAAATGGGGAAATTGTAAGGAGAGTTTATAGGCTTTAAAAGGCCATGCTGTAGCAAGTGAGTGATAACAGGCTTTAATCCTTTTAAAGCGTGCCGTGGGATGGGATATTGGCATTAAGTGGGCTAAGGGTGATTAGGTTTTAATGGGATGGTAAGGGGTGCATGATGGGTTGCTAAGGAGGGAGTAGAGGTATTCTATACTTGTGGGTTAAGGTGGGGAGATACAGGGGGAGGATGTGAAGGACACTTTGAACTGGGGGAAAAGGTGGCAATGAGGTGTGGCTGTAGCCCAGGAATAGTCAGGGAAGCAGATAATTTAGTTAAAGTGTCTTGGCCTAATAAGGGAACCGGGCAGGTGGGGATAACAAAAAAGGAGTGCTTAAAAGAGTGTTGTCTAAGTTGGCACCAGAGTTGGGGAGTTTTAAGAGGTTTAGAAGTCTGGCCATCAATACCCACAATGCTTATGGA
This sequence comes from Homo sapiens, assembly GCF_000001405.40. NCBI lineage: Eukaryota > Metazoa > Chordata > Mammalia > Primates > Hominidae > Homo > Homo sapiens. The sequence continues at coordinate 5,439,745 of NC_000008.11, forward strand.
GGCCAGGGAAACAGGCCCTTCAAAAGAAGGTAATGTGGAGTGGGTAGCCTCCGTATTGATTAAGAAGGGGATGGACTTACCCTCCACTGTGAGAGTTACCTAAAGCTCGGTGTCTGTGTTGGTCTACAGGGCTTCCGAGGTGATCTGGCAGCGTCAGTCTTCAGCCGCTAAGCTGAGAAGATCTGGGAAGGAGTCAGTCAGAGAGCCTTGGGCCAGAGTTCCAGGGGCTCTGGGAGTGGCTGCCAGGTGAGTTGAACAGTCCGATTTTCAGTGGGGTCCTGCACAGATGGGATGTGGCTTAGGAGGAATCCCAGGCTGCAGGCATTCCTTGGCCTAGTGGCCAGATTTCTGGCACTTGTAGCAAGCTCCTGGGGGAGGCAGGCCTGGAGGAACACCTGGCCACTGCGGTTTAGGCATTTGGAAGTTCTTGTGTGCTGGAGATGTGGCTGGGGTTTGTCTCACAGTGGAGGCAAGGAATTGCAACTCAGAAATATGTTGCTACTTGGCTGCCTCTATTATTGTACACCTTGAAGGTGAGGTTAATTAAGTCCTGTTGTGGGGTTTGAGGGCTGGAATTTAATTTTTGGAGTTTTATTTAATGTCGGGAGCAGATTGGATAATAAAATGTATATTGAGAATAAGATGGCCTTTTGACCTTTTAGGGTCTAGGGCTGTAAAGCATCTCAGGGGTGCTGCCAAACGAGTCAGGAACTGGGCTGGGTTTTTATATTTGATGAAAAAGAGCCTAAACGCTCTCTGATTTGGGATAAAGAAAAAGGAGCGTTAACCTTGACTATGCCTTTAGCTCCAGCCACGTTTTAAAGAAGAAATTGCTGGGCAGGTCGGGGAGGGCTAGTCATGGAACAAAACTGCAAGCCGGACTGGCTGTGAGGAGGAGAGGTGATAAAAGGATTATAGGGTGGAGAAGTGGAGGCTAAGGAAGAACTGGGACCTAGCTCGGCCTGGCGAGGAGGGGAGAGGTCAGATGGGTCTGTAAAAAAGGAAGATTGGAAAGACTCAGCGACACTTGGGGTTGGGACTGAAGGGACAGGCAGTAGTAAAAGAAGGAAGATTTGGGGTGAGTCACATTGGGAACAGAGACTAGGCAGGGACTGATGTGTAAAAGAATGCCTGGACATCAGGCACTTCAGACCATTTGCCCATTTTACGACAAGAATTATTTAGATCTTGTAGGATGGAAAGATTGAAAGTGCCGTTTTCTGGCTATTTGGAACCACTGTCAAGTTTGTATTGGGGTCAAGTGGCATTGCAGAAGAAAATAATGGAGGGGGGAAGCTTGCCCATAGTGAAGGAGGCGAGCCCAGAGAAAAGAGAGAGTAGAGACACGGAGAGAAGAGGTAGGGGATTTTTGCCTCCCAGAAAAGTGGAGAAGGGGTTGGGGCATGGAAATAAGGGGTTGGGGCACAGAGATAAGAGGTCAGGGTACAGAAATAAGGGATTGGGATACAGAGATAAGAGGTTGGGGTGTGGAAATAAGGGATCAGGGTGCACAGATAAGAGGTCAGGGTGTGGAAATAAGGGATCAGTGGGTTCTTGCCCCCTAGAAAAGCGGTACTTGCCGCTAAGGGTGAAGGAGAAGGGGTTGGGGGCTTCTTGCCCCCCAGAAAAGTGGAGAAGGGGTAGAGACACAGAGAGAAGGGGTTGGGGGGTTCTTGCCCCCCAGAAAAGCGGTACTTGCCACTAAGGGTGAAGGACCAAGGCAGGCGTCCCCACGTGGTCAGACACCTGTGAAAGGTGGGTGAATAATCAGAGAGGTGTCCCTGCAATGATTAAACACCAAGGGAACTCTGCCTTCCAGAGTCCGTGACCGGTGCCGGAGTTTTAGGTCCACAGATAAAACGTGTCTCCTTTGTCTCTACCAGAAAATGAAAGGAATTGAAATTAAGAGAAGGGAGAGATTGAAGGTTGGCGCCAAGATTGAAAGGAGAAAGTGGTTGAGGGATAGTGAGAGAGGTTGGAGAAGAAAGGAAGAAGAGGCCGCTTACCCAATTTAAAATTGGTAAGATGTTCCTTGGGCTGGTGGGTCTGAGGACCTAAGGTCATAGGTGGGTCTTTTCCACAGAGTAAAGAGCAGGAGGACAGGGGATTGATCTTCCAAGGGAGGTCCCCCAGTCCGAGTCACAGCACCAAATTTCATGCGTGTCCACATGAAGAGACCACCAAACAGGCTTTGTGTGAGCAACAAGGCTGTTTATTTCACCTGGGTGCAGGCGGGCTGAGTCTGAAAAGAGAGTCAGCAAACGGAGATGAGGGTGGGGCCACTTTATTGGATTCGGGTAGGTAAAGGAAAAAGGGGGGTTCTCTGGCAGGCAGGAATGGAGGTCATGAGGTTCTCAGTAGGGGAGCTTTTGAGCCAGGATGAGCCAGGAGAAGGAATTTCACAAGATAATGTCATCAATTAAGGCAGGAACCAGTCATCTGGATGTGTATGTGCAGGTCAAAGGGGATATGATGGCTTAGCTTGGGCTCAGAGGCCTGACACCTTCCCCTCTGTCACTGTATAGATTTTTATTCTTATTTTTTGCTTAGTGCTTTTATTTTTAAGATAATTACACTTATATGACCCTAGCTACCTCCCCACTTCTTTCATTTTTCACCTCTCAATTTTCATTACATATACCTAGCTGTGTTTTCAGCATTTGTAATATTCATATTCCACAATGTAACTATGAATATCTATTTCTGTTAGTTTTAGCTCTACATTTAAATAATTTTAATACTCCCCTCCTCAAATCATTTTTCCAGTTGTTTGTTTGCAAGGTTTTCTATCTGGTATTTTTGCCAGGAAAGGATTTTTGTAACAATATTTTTATAATTATTTCGTATTTAGTGGTAGGTCTATTATAAGTGAATGCCAAATTGACTATAAAACTATTGAGTGACACTTTTCTCGATGTTGTTGGATGCAATGTTACTCTTCAAGAATTGAAGGTGCTGTCAAGAATGTGAAGCCACCGTAGTATTTGACCCTTTTAAGTTAATTATTCTTTTTGTGTTGAGCCCCCAAATATTTTTTTTCTTTAGTTCTAGCATGCAGCACCTTTAATAGAATATCTTCACGTTGTTCTTAGAGGGAATACAGTGTGCCTTTTCAATGTGTGCTATGAAGTATTGTTTTATTTCTTTAAAAATGTTTTTTTAATTATAATCACATGTATTTTTTGCGATGACCTTAAGTCTTCATTCAGTGAACACCAGATATGCTGGTATCCTTGTATATGCTGAATATCCTTGGTCTATCTTCATATGTGTAATTTATTTACAATATTTATAAAGTATTTGTGTTTAATTTGTTGTTCTTTTGTTTCCGTATCCTTTCTTCTTCCTGTGTTCTCAGCAATATTGTTTGTTTAGCTTTCAATGTGACTTTCATTCCACATATAGTTGTATTTTTTCCACCTTTTCCTGTACACTGCCAGTCATGTTTCACTTTCTTTTGTCAACCATGACTTACCTAAGCGGTTGCATTTCTTATCCTTCTTTTATTTTATGAAAGTGGTTGCTTTAGGTTTCTATTCCTTAATGAATAGGAATATAATTGGAATCTACTTTCTGGAAAGAGTTGCCAATAGAGTGCTTTTGGCTGCCATGCATTTCTCGTGTTATTTTCCCCTTTGGTTTGCTTATTCTTTCTTTTCTTTAGATTTTTAAATTTTTAATATTTGTGGATTTTTGTTTGTAGTCATCCTAGACTCATTTTTGCAATTGTTATTTCCGCTATTCCTTAGTATTTCTTGATTGAGCTGTTTTGTTTTGTTTTTTTTTTTAAAAAAAAAAAAACTGAGTGAAGAGGGCAAAGCTGCGTTGCTGGCTAGCAAGTCTTAAGAAGAGTCCCCTGCCAGCCAGTGGATCTCCATGGCATAGTTATTACCGAGGCTGCTACTCAGGTGTCACACCTGTGTTGGAGGAGACTCCTTTGCTGGATTTCTATGTTTGTAACCACAGATCATGGTCTGTTTCTTCCTGCGTGCTGATTTGTCCTCATGGGTCTCAGTGTCCCTCCCTGTAATGTGTCTGACAAACACAGGCTGTGCCTCCCTTGGGCAGAATGGTTTCTCACTCCTCTTGCTTTTGAAGAGAAGAAAAGGGAGAACGATTTTTAATTTTTAACCATTTATGTTAAAACCTGAATCTTATGTTTGTACTTTTTTATATTTTGGAAAGTTTTATTGAAACATGCCATCACCTTATAATAGGAAATGTAAAATAAATAGCCTCAGGTTGGGTGGTAGATGTGAGGGCCCTGCTTCCCTGATAGGATATTTATCATATTCTTAATGCATTGCCACTTTTAAGACATTTCTCTTCTCTTATGTCCAATATTTTTTACTTGTTCATGAGTTTTGATCAATGAAGACTAAAAATGGTGCATCAATAATATTTGGAAATAATACTAATATTAAATAAGAAAATATTAATAAAATTATATTTTAACTGTTTTCATATACTATTATATATTTTATAATATAGAGTTATAAAGTTAAAATGATACAAGAGAATTTTTATAATATTAGATTATAATTCTTAACTGAAATGAGATATTAAAAGTATCATATAAGCTATCTTGAAAGAAATCAGTAAAAATGGCATGGAAACTAATAAGGGAAGTAAGTGGAATGCTGTTGTGAACCTCCAGATGAATATTCAATTTGTTCAATTTTAATTTCAATTTAGGAGAAAAATCACATTTTTTCTTAATAGACCTTTGTTCTATCTCCATAAAAATATTAGTTCTCATTAAAATTGACCGAATCTAAAAATGAATTAAGAATGAGGAATGATGTCAGCAAAATAGTGAGATAAGCTGCTTCAAGCTCCTGGCCCCCACAAAGACATTTTAAAAAACAAGAAGAAACTGTCAGAACTCACCTTGTCAGAGCTCTGAGAAACAGTCGAAGACCTACAGCAAACACTGAATAGAGAACAAGGCAGTGGTGGAAAAGCTTCTTGGTATTTTTTTCTCCTCCTCGCCTGCCTGCTCCACAGCTCCACTAAAGTTAGAGGAGGAGCTCCTGTTCCCAGTTGGGACCATGGGTCCAGTCTTCAAATGGAGCTAAGCGGACCTTACAAATTGCTGTGTGGCTTGTTCTCTCTTTCTCAGAGCTACTATAAGGTCTAATGCAAAATGTTTGTTGTCTGACTTTGATGTCACACACAATAACTCTTAAAGATCCATATTTAAGAAAATAAAAGCTCCAGAAATTAAAGTAAAAATAGAAAAAAAAGGGACCCTATCAATTAACCCACATAAGAGCCCAACATATCCACAGTCTCTTTGCACCACCGTCTCACCTCTCATCTGTCTTCTTCTTAAGCTCACTGTAATGGTTATGTTTGTCCTTATGATGCAGTTCTACTTCTCGTATGAAAGGAACATGGGTAAATTATTTTAGGTAATGTCACCATGCCTTAGGACACTATGGAAAGTCATTTTACATTTCTTCTCAAATAATTTACCCACTTCGGGAAAGCATATGCTGCAGCAGTTAAAATTTTCATTTTTAACTCAAACTTTTCAAAACTTCTTTATTTATTTAACCTAAAACTCATTTAGAAAAGCAAGTTATCATGTGGGGGAGAAATAAGGAAAGTTACATCCTATGCATGTGAAAAGAAAAAAATGAGCACAGCCGTGTTCCTGGGTACAGAGGAAGGGCATTTGAAGGCCAAGAGCACAAGTAGAGCCAATGGCATTTGTAGGTACTGGAAGCCAGAACAAGGACACTTTAAGTTAGGGGATGAAGATACTGTTGAATAAAAGAAATTTCAACAACTTCTGCAAACTCCTCTTTAATCTCTGAAGTATGCTGCAAGTATGTTTTAGCCTTGAGGGATGTGTTGGGAAATGACCCCTGTGTGCTGGGTCAGACTCTCTCAACTGTCTTTTTCTTTCTCTCTTTTGGTTGGTGTCTAACCTTTGCAGCGCAATCACTGCACTTTAGGGTTTTGTGAAAGCACTTCAGCTTGAGGGGTTCCGTTTGCATTCTTCAGCTGCTGACACACTGGCTGACATAAAGGGGAGTTGCGGAAGAGTTGGCTTCCCATGGGGGACCCTGCTCAAGGAGAAATAGACGTTAGAAAAACCTTGGGCAGATAAACTCCCTCATTTTTCTCTCTCCTGTGAGTCACTCAAAGGTAGAACTCCATGTAGCTTTCAAGCAAAAGTCCTATGTGAAGACTTGCTGAGACTCTTGGAGGACTGTTTTGAAACAATGCCTAGCCTGAAAACAGATCGAATTCATGTGCATCTTTCTTCGCCTCACTTTGATTTTCTCTTTATGCTTTCCTGAGTTTGCACCTAAGTGAAGTGTTAGCATGTTAATCTCTGTCTTGACTCTGCTTTCTGCAGGAACTGAGCTAACACAGCTAGCCAATTTGAAATAAACCAATATTAGGATGACATTTGAAGATTTATAATTAAGGCAGCCAATGCTGGCTAGATGGGTGTTTTTATTTCAATATTATCCTGAAGATTGCTTTATCTATTTTAGGAAAGCATGTGAAAAACCCTTAAAATTTGGCTGTTTAATTAAGAATTGTAATTTTTAAAAGTCAATGATATAAGACGTTAATGAAAGAAATCAAAGAAGATTTAAATAACTGGAGAGATATTCCCTGGTCATGGACTGAAACATTTGATATCATTTAGATGTTCATTTTTCCGAAATTAATATATAGATCCAAGGCAATGCCAGTCAAAACCCTGGCATGCTATTTTGTAGATATCGACAAACTGACACCAGCGTTTAAATAGAAAGGCAAAACTCTAGAATAACAAGCATGATACTGAAGAAGAACAAAGTTGAAGGACCAACACTAATAAATTTCAAGACTTACTGTAAAGCTACATTAATCAAGACAGTAAGGTATTGGTGAAAGAATAGGTACATGGATCAATGAAACACAAAATGCAATCTAAAAATAGACTCACAAAATATAGTGAACGGATCTTTGGAAAAAAAAAGCACAAAGGCAATTCAATGAAGAAAGGAAAGTCCTCTCAACAAATGGTGCTGGAAAGATTAGTGTGTTTATAGTTTTAAAAAAAGAAGAAAGAGAGCCTATACAGAGACCTTAAACCTTTCAAAAAAAATTGACATCACCTATCTCACACACCTATGATTAAAGTGCAAAGGTCTAAAACTTCTTGAACAAAATGTAGGAAAAAATACAAATGGCTTTGAATTTTGTTCTGAGCTTTTAGATTCATACTGAAAGAACCATTAATGAAATTTTTAAAAATGTTGCTTTGGACTTTATTAAAACAAAAACTTGTTTATAAAAGACACTATTAAGAGAATCTAAACAAAAGCCACACAATGGAAGAAATATTTTCAATACATATATCTGATGAAGGACTTTTATCTAAAATATGCAAAGAAATACTTTTCAAATTCAACAATAAGAAAACAAACTCAATTAAAAAGTAGGCAAACCATCTAAATGGACACCTCCCCAAACAAGATACAGAGATTGCAAACAAGCATGGAAAGAAGCTTAACATTATTTGTCATCAGGGAAATGCAAATTAGCACAACAATGAGATGCTATTACACATCTATTAATTACTTCAAACCAGAAATCTTGACAATACCAACTACTGATAAGGATATGAAACAATAGGGACTCTCTCATTCATTGCTGGTGGGAATGCAAACTCTTACAGTACCTTGGAAGATAACTTGACAGTTTCTTGTAAAGCTAAGCATACTGTCACCATACTACACATTAGTTGCATTCTCAGATATTTACTCCAATGATTTGTAAACTTATGTCCGCTTAAAAAATAGGATGTAACTGTTTCTGGCAGTTTATTGTATGATTGCCCCAAATTGGAAGCATCTAAGAGGCCCTTCAATAGGTGAAAGGATAAGTAAATTGGAGTCCTGAAGTACCTTACACAATAAGGCGTGAATGAACTTCCTATGTGCATTGCTGAGTTAGCGAAGGCAGTGTGAGATGCTGTATTGTCCATATCTCATTTACATGACATTCTAGAAGAGGCAAACTGTAGATACATGCTAAGCACATCAGTGTTGCCAAGGTTCCATTTTTTGTATGAGGGAAGGCTGACTAGGTGAGACACAGGGGAAATGTAAGGGCTATGTGAAACAATGATCGTGGCCACGTGACACTTTTGTCAAACCCATAGAACTTTACGGCATAAAGAGTAAACTTTAGGCCGGGTTCGGTGGCTCACGCCTGTAATCCCAGCAGTTTGGGAGGCTGAAGTGGGTGGATTACCTGAGGTCAGGAGTTCGAGACCAGCCTGATAAACAAGGTAAAACCCTGTCTCTACTAAAAATACAAAAATTAGCAGGGCGTGGTGGCAGGCGCCTGTAGTTCCAGCTACTTGGGAGGCTGGGACAGGAGAATTGCTTGAATCCAGGAGGTGGAGGTTGCAGTGAGCTGAGATCGCACCACTGCACTCCAGCCTGGGCAATGGAGCAAGACTGTGAAAATAAATAAATAGAGTACACTTTAGTGCATTCAACATTTAGAGTAATTTGTTTTCCAAAGTGGGAATATGTATTTTTTTTCTCTTTTGAGGTGGGGTCTCACTCTGTCGCCCAGGCTGGAGTGCAGTGATGCAGTCTCAACTCACTGCCACCTCCAACTCCCAGGCTCAATTGATCCTCCTGCCTCAGCCTCCTGAGTAGCTGGAACTGTAGGCATGCAAAACCATGCCCAGCTAATTTTGGTATTTTTTTGTAGAGACAGGATTTCTCCATGTCACCCAGGCTGGTCTTGAACTCCTGGACCCAAGGGATCCACCTGCCTTGGCCTCCCTAAGTGCTGAGATTACAGGTGTGAGTCTCCATGTCCAGCCTGGGGATATGTATAAACAATTCTAAAACCAGTCTAAATTTATACTGGTAGTAAACAATTAAGTAAATGAGTAGTGGATTATGGGAGCCTGGTTTCCTACTGTTGCAGTGGGAGGTTACATACAAGCAATGAGAGGAGGTTACAGTGGTGCATGAGGTACAGATTCAAGTTGCAGACCTCGCTATGAACTCATATAGAGCTTAATATAGATACAGATAGTTGCATTTGGAACCATTTCTGTATATATGTATATGCCAGTCTTACTAACGTTTACTATTCAGTTAATATATATTACTACCACAAATACACATGTTAATTTTACATAATCAGCCAAGAAATCAAAATTTCATTGGAACACTGGGCTCCCTCAGGACAGGAACAGGTGCCAGCATATGGCTCTGGCTGGGTCCCCTGAGATTCCTATGGGTCTGCAGCTGCCAGTGACATTATGGTAAAGTCCCACTAGATTTGGAAAACCTGTTTCTCCATCAATGCCTTTCACTCACAGGATTTTCATTACCTTTTTGCAAAATCTTCCACTAACAGTCTGTGCATCTTTATTTAAAGAAAATCTTACAAATATCAGATACCTCTGACTCTTGAGCAAAACCCAGCACCAACTAGGAAAATTCCTGTAGGAAAATGCAGACTTAGTGCCCATCTCTGCTTCTAGCTTCTGTGGGTTCTGTAAAGCCTCTCTGTAACTTCTAACATGGTAGAAAGAAAAATCATCAGAGTTCAAGGAATGTGGGTTAAATTCCACATCTGGCTCTATCTGGTTGTGTGACTTTAGGGACATCACTTAACATGCTTGCTTTCCATTTCCCCACAAGTGCACAGACTACATTCAGTAGATTCATGTAAGGTCTGGGTTAGGGTTGCTGCTGTATCAAATGATGACAAATATGTCCTGAAATTGCTTATAAAATATAACTTTGTTCATGAGATTTCTAAGACCAACAATAACTCATTAGCATACAGTGTGTTGAATAATTATTCCTTACACTTAGAATTAATCTAAAATGCATAACCTAAGTCACTCTACTTAGCTGCACTTCTAATTCTTGGTGATGTAATTGTTGCACAGCTTGCCCAGCAAACAGCTGAGCTGTAATTAAGGAAATTGTTGTTTTGGAAGCTTTCCTTGTAACTCCATGCATTTGCACCTACTATTATACCAAGTATCCTTTTCTCAAATCCTGGATTTCTTCTTCTCCCTGGATCAACTACACTACATTTCCAATTCTCTCTTACAGTTCATTGTAGCCACACGACTGATTTCTAGTTAACGTAAGGTGAGCAGAAGAACCGAACAGCTCATAGGCACCTGCCACTGCCGCTCTAAATTGTCATTTCTCATTCTGCTGGGTGGACACAGGTGGTGTGAAGGGCCAGAAGGCCCCCAGAACTACACCATGGAAGGAGCCTGGATCCATGTATCACCCTGGCAGAGAAAGCTTAGTGTTGTCTAACAAGAATAACCATGAGATTTCATTTGAGTCCTAATACATGTGTGAATTTATTTGTTGCAAAATTAGCTCATGTTAGCTACATACTCCGATTGTAAATATAGTTAATGATTTAAAGCCAAGGTAGTATATTCTCCAACTAACTCTTCCCTCCTAGGAAGATATGCCAATTTCCTCAGGACAAATTAATCACTCTTCCACAGTGTTCTAAAGGAAATCTGGCCACATTACCATTAAAACACTCACAATGCTGTTTGCCCTGTCACTGAAAGCGGAAATATGTGCTCAGTTATTTTTCATGCCTAATGCCTTAGAGTTTGTTATCTAGTGAAAATTTGGCCGGGGGAGTCAATAGATCTGCTGAATGAATAAATGAATGAGTAAATGAGTGAAATGAACCACTAAATTACATTTTAGGCATTTTATTCACAAATTTCCTTCTCAATTTGTCAACCTATGGAAACCCCACCCATTCTCCATTCCCTAAGCATAATGTCAAGTGCTACTCCAGTCTTTGAACTTCAAGACTTCTGTTTTACCTTCTTTGCTTATTTGACACTCTTCACATTTTTCTGTTACAACAATTATCATCTTGTATTGTTTGTTTGCATCTACAATAAAATATGAATCCAAAAGATTTGCTGTTCAACAGATGAATGAAGGATACCTCACCTCATAGGAGACCTTGAAAGTAGTGTTGGGGTGAAGACAGAGTGCGCACATCCATTACTGACGATGTTTGTCTTACAAGAAAGCGTTGTTCCCTGCGTCAAAGCCAGGCCTGCCTATTTACAGTTGCAAATGTGAGTGGTTGTGAGGTTGATAGGAGACAATTATGATGTTAGAGGGTTTGGGTGCATAAGCAAGAAGAAATGATGATGTGTATTATAAAATGAACATAGTATAAGAGGTGGTTCCAAAGGGTGGTCTCCGGCTCAATAGCATCGGCATGACCTGGAAACTTAGGAAAATGCAAACTATCAAGCCCCAACCCAGATGTGCTAAAACAGAGATTCTTGGGATAAGGCCCTAAATTCTATGATTTTAACAAATCCTGCAAGTGATTCTGATGCATAATATTCGAGAACAATTAGCATGGTGATGATATTTGCTAGCACAGGAGGTAATCCATGACCTAAGCTGCATTATAGAGTATCAGATTGTCACTCCAGATTTATCTTCTGCCATTGTTTGCAGCACTAACGAGCTGTGTATCCCCCAAAATGTGAATTAACTTTTTCCATGCCCTTATATGTGATATTTAGAATTCTGAAAAGCTATCTTAGTTGTCTTTGTAGTTCTAAAACTCTAAAATAGTATAAACTATTCCCATTGTTACCCAAATGAACGTGTTCATGGAAGGCATTGTGAAAGTCTAAAATATTGCCATTTGCGTGACAATCCCCCATGACCGACTGAAAAAAAAACTGTATGTTTTAATGTATTTCCCTTGACTGAAAATGGTATGGGGCCACCTGCAAATAATATATCAAGCCCCTTGGACATCTGTGTGTTGGAGAGGAACCAGTGCTCCTGCGCCAGCTCCCCTGTTCTCTGTGCATGCGGAAGTAATCATTCGGTTGTGTTTTTGCCTCAGTTTGTTCTTCTGCAACACGTAGACAAAAACTTAATATCTGCAAGTTGCAGAATTATATTATGGACATGTTTAAAATGGGAAAGTTGAAATCCTTAGATGGATAAATCCATGCTCACTTGTAGATATGGACTTCAGCTCTTTCCTGGGGCTGCCATAACAAAGTATCTCTCTCACACACAAAACCTATACAAGGTATCTGTCAGCAAGGTTGGTTTCTCTGGAGCCCTCTCTCCTTGGCTTGTAGATGACCATCTTCTCCCTATGTCCTGACATGGTCGTCCCTCTGTGTTTCTCTGTATTCTAGTCTCCTCTCCTTAGGTCTTTTCCACCAGACCTATTGGATTAGCGCCCACTCTAATGACCTCATTTAATTTAATAATCTCTTCAAAGACCCTATCTTAAACACAATCATGATCTGAAGACTTCGATATGTGAATTTCAGGTGAACACAATTCAACCTCTAACATGGAATTCATTGAAGAATCTACACAACCCCTAAGCAGTATTTGGAAGAAGAATGGTTATTCCTAAAGACCTGAAATGTCTCCAAGCTCCTTAATCAGACTGCAGAATGGATGAAAATAATACTCATGTTCATATATGTTTGGACCATGCCTAATAATAGAAGCTTTTTTGTTCTTTTTCTAATTCAATTATTCTGACCAGTTTACAGTCAAACATAAAATATTATGATAAGTACATACAGATTATATATAAACAATAGTATCTATAATGCCCAACACTGTCTTTTATTCCTTAGAATTAAAAGGAAGTTCAAATTTCCATCATAAAAGAGAAGCTACATACATTTAATCCTGATAAAATGTTCATTATCTTTTTCAGTACACATTCACAGGCCAGCCATAGTTGATGCTAAACTGAGATGAATATTTATTAAATATTATCAGAAAAATATGAATTAGTTTGTAAAGCATTGTTGGGTTTCTCTCATTACTGGCTGAAATTTGGAATAAATTATTATATATACTTACCCAGTGAGTCCTTTATCCTGCTGTAGGCTGATAATCATACATAAAAACATGATAGGTGACAAAATCACACAAAAACGTGTGGAAGATGAACTGTCTGTAGTGTAAGATGTTTCTTATGAGCTTAAGCTCCAAAAATGAGATTTAATTTATCTTTAGTAATATTATTGCCATTATTAGAGTTTTAAAATCTCTGTGAGTTGTTTGGAATGGGTAAGCCTTATTTCTGGTTGCGTATTAACGTGGAAATTATCAACAAAGTTAGCCATGTATACCAGTATTTTTCAGACTACACTTTAAACCAAGAATTCACTAGTTAGGAAAATATGCTAAGTGCTACCTTGTGGGTTGTATTTGTGATGGATAAATTTATCAACAGACTTGGCTAAGCTATGATGCCAGATAGTTTGGTCAAACACTAAGGTGAATGTTGCCGTGAAGATATTTGTGGATATGATGAACATATGTGATCCGTTGAATTAGGAAAGCAGGTTCCCCTCCATAATGTGAGTGGCCCTTATCCCATTAATTGAAGTCCTTAAGATCAAAGACTGATGATTCCTTGAATATAACAGTTCTACAGTACTAGGTGGCGTACCCAACATTGCTTGGATAAGTAACTGATCTTCACTCCACATATGAATTTCTGTTGCAGAAATGTCCCTGCAGCACTCAGTGGCTTCTCTCCCAGGTATCTGCACATTTTGTGGATCATATTTGTGTCTTCTGATGTGAAAAGAGGATTGTTGTCTGAGTCCAGAAACTGTTAGGCTCATGGGAGGATTTTTCTCTGTCCAGATCTCACTGGCTTCCATTGTAGCTCTGTGTCAGCTGCATTCTCCAGTTCTCCCATTCTGGATCCTCAAGGTCACCCACGTGGAATTAAGATGATGTCATATAGCTTGTGTTTCAAATCAGGTCCTCAAGATCTGTGGAAAAACTGCCCAGCAGTGTTAGTTGATGCAGTAACAAAGAAACATTTTATTTTACGGGTACAAAGTATACCTTAAATTAAGATTTTCCTGAAGGTGCTTTTATATTTTTCTCCAGAAACCTCTCCTGTCTCCTATGAAAAACCCTAATGGCACAGATATGTCACCTCATGGATTTAGCCATCATACAGCAAATGAAGAGGCAGTGCTGTTTTTTGGCTCTCAGCAAAACTCCATCTTCTTTTCCTCTTTTTGTTTTCACTGATTTTTCTGACATCAACCACTCCCATCCTGTCTGTCTATGCTACTTAATCTCAGGTCTGTGCGCCTAACCCATCCCTTGCCCCAGGCTTCTGTACCTGTGGATCAGACTCCCTGCCAAGCTCCCTCACCATTGGGTTCTACCTAGGCCCTGAATTCAGCATGGCCAGGACTGACCTATTCAGCTTTCACTAAAAATCTTTCATCTATGTTTCTTACCTCCAGCTAGAACCCACCAGCTCTCCACTGTGAAAGTCAGATGTCCTACCCTGAGTTTCTTGAAGGATCTGTCAAGCTCTCTTTTGCCTCTAGGCGTTTCTACAAATATGCTGTTCCCTGAAATGCTCTCTGAGAAAAGTCAGACACGTCATTTATTTCAGGGCTCTGGAAAGTTTCTCTAATAGGAATCTTCTCTGAAGTCTTCTATAGCCTCCTGTGCTTGTCCATATTACAGAAGATCTCAAACCTCATAGCAACACTCATTCACGTGCTTCTGTCCCTACTGACTTCAGGGCTGTACTCGCCAATGTCTCCAGGAGCTTAGCACTGACGACGATGTTTTGAATCAATACGGTTATTGTAAACATTGGAGAAGTCATCCCAAGTTTCTGTAAGTACCATGCCCATTTGCACGTTACTCACTAGCTATTTATTAGGATTTCAGTTTTATAGAAAACGCCATCCTGCCCCCTGCCATGGCCACATAATAAGGTGGTTTGGTCATAAATTTCCTCCATTTTTGTTTGTCAGGTAAAGTCTTCCGGTCTCTTCATTTTTTAAGGTACAGGTTTTAGGTGAATTTTTCTCCCTTTCAAAACTTTAAATATTTTACCTCGTACTGTTTTGGTTGCATGGTTTCTGACAAGAGGTTCTCTGTAATTCTTACCCTTGTTTCTCCTTAGCTAAGATGCTCTTTTTTTCTGGCTGCTTTCAAGATGTTTCGTTTTCGAAAATTTGAATATGATCTGTCTGGGCATTTTTTACTGATTGATTGATTTTACTTACCCCACATTATGTTCTCTGAGCCTCCTGTATGGGTGGTTTGGTGTCGGTTTTAGTTTTTGTTTTTGTTTTTGTTTTGGATAGAGGATTTCATTTATAAAACAATTCAAATAGCACTTGGACTTAGGAAACATTTCCAATTTTTATTCATCACACTATTAATCAAAATTGCAACATCTAGAGTTTTAACAGACACTCTTTGTACTCTTTGGTGAAATGTCTGTTAAACTATTTGTTATTGATCTAGAGCCATAGATCAATAACAAAACAGGGAAACGAAATGTTCCAGAGACATCTCAAAAGTGCCAAAGAAACACGCACTAGGCTAAAATTCTACAGGTAAACCATCATCACACAGCAGGTTCTATTCATTCCTGTATTTTCGCAGTAAGTTCTTCCTTATGTTTGCCTTTCTCTTTTCTGACTTGTCAAGACTTGGCTTTGCACTCAAGAACTTTTTCCCATTTCTTGTCCAGCTTTAGCCTGTGATAACCACCTGGCTCGGGCGAATGCCCACAAAGACGGCGGTCCCATTGGTTCTTCTCACAATGCACCCACTCCGTGTAGATGACATTTATTTATGTACATCTGGACCACCTTGCTGATTTGCTGACCTTTGTAGTGTCTTCCAACCACCTGGACCTCTTTATCCTTGAGGATGGGCATGGAGTGGACACTGTGCTTCTGCTTCAGCTCCTTGCTGGGATATCATGCTGGGAGAGCAGGGACGGCAAGATGTTCCTGTGCACATGTGAGGGGCCAGTGAAGTGACATTTGCAGTTTTGGCTGTGGTCTAAGGTGATGAAGGGATTGAACTTTATGCTCACCATCTGGCTTCGGCCGGCCTAGTGGTGTCTGTCTTTTATTTAAGAAAGTTTTTGGCTATTATTACTTTGAATATTTCTTTTGCACTGTTCTCCATTCCCTCTTCAACTTTTCCTGTTAATCATATGTTTTGTTATGCCTTTTAAGATTGCTCCACTTTTATGTGCTATTCTGTTCTTTTTTAAAGTTTTTTTTTCTATTTTCCTTTCAATGTGGGAAATTTCTATTGATATATTTTCAAGCTCACTGATTTCTCCTCAGATATGTGAAGTCTACTGATGAGCCCATCAAAGACAGTGTTTATTTCTGCTATGGTATTTTCAGTTTCTAGCATTTTGTTTTGTTTCCTTATTCACATTTCCATCTGTCTGCTTACATTACTGTTGCATGTCACCCACTTTTTCTAGTAGAACCCTTAACAGGTTGAGCACGGTAATTGTAAATTCCAAGCCAGATAATCCCCAAATCTCTGCCATATCTGAGTTTGGTTTTGATATTTTCTGTTTGTCTCGTTACACTGTTTTTTGAGGATACCTTGCATTTCTTTGTTGAACACTGGAGGACATTTAGATAGTGAAAAGAGCTGAGGTAAATAGACATGTAACAGATGGTCTTACATTTATCTGAGTGGTAATTAGATTGTTTTATTGTTTGGTATAATTGTAGGTGGCAGAGACTAAAATTTCTTTTAGCATCTTTTACCCCTCATTTTTGTGTGTGGGTTTCCCTAGATATTCCTCCTTGGGAAGTGTCTAAGTCTTGCAGTTCTTTAAGTTGTATTCTTCTGCCATTACACAGGAGCTCTGTTAAAGTGGTGGTAATGTGGGTGGGTGGGTAGAAGGGAACATCGTATAATCCTGTGTTAGATCTCACTATTTCAGTGAGATGTGTTCCAGGGCTGTGACCTCACAAGCACTCTCAGCTTCTACTCCCCAATGTCAACCTCCAGTCTTCCCTGAGAAGAGGCAAACAGGCTAGTTGAGGCTGGAGTTGGACATTTTTCTTCTCCATGTTGAAAGCAAATTGGGCTGGCATTGGATAGTTTTTTGTTTTTTTTTTTCTCGAGGTCAGGCACGTTCTGATAAAATATTAATTTAAAATAGTATTTCAAAATGGTTAGTTTTCCTGCCACCCTGCCAGAAGCAGGAAGGAATTTTTCTGCAGCCTTCACCCTAAGTCTCTAGTGGAATCCCTGAAGGTAAAACTCAGTAAGTTGTGGGTGCCTCTCCCTCCAAAGCCTGAGCCCCGGGAGTTTGAATCTCAGCTAGTTAACAGCTCAGCCTCCATCACTTAGTCAATTACAGTTTAAATGTTTCTAGCAGTTGCTGGCTCTAACTGTGTCTTCTCCTTCCAGTTAATTTTGATTCTCTATGTTCACCTGTCTCCCACCCCGTGGTTTTCAGGGAGGTAGTTTGTCCTGTGACCCCGATTCTCTGATGGGTCTAAGAAGAGTTGTTCATTTTCAGTTAGTTTGGCTTTTTTCCTGTTGTGAGAATGGGGGATGATGACTTTCATGGTTTTACAACTTAGAATGGAAACTGTAAGCCTGTTAATGTACTTTGATGTAAAATTTTAAGTTAAACTGTGATGATTTTTTCAGAAAATGATATGTCATCCATATGTACTCTTTGGTGAAGTGTCTGTTAAAACCATTTGCCCTCTTTTAGTGGGCGGTTTTTTTTCTTAGTATTGAATTTTCATGATTTTTTATATTCTAATTAAGCCTTTTATTACATACAATATTAGCAAATCCCATTTCCCATCCCGAGGCTTTTCCTTTCACTCTCTTAACAGTTTTGTCGAAAGAGCAGAATTCTTACTTTTGGTGTCATATATAAGAAATAGTTGCCTGAAAAGGTCAAAACAATATTCTCCTGTGTTTTATTATGGAAGAATTATGGTTTTATGGTTTGCAGTTAAACTTATGATTCCTTTAAGTTATAATTTTTATAGAGTACAAAGAACTGAAGTTAATATTTTTGTGTATGGATATCCAGCATCATTTGTAGAAAAGGCCTTCTTTTCTCTAATAGATTGCCTTTCTATCTTTATCAAAAACCAGTTGTCCATGTATCTTTTGGTCTATTTCTGGACTTTCTCTTCTGTTCCATTGGTTTATTTTGTTTATGTTTACACGAATACAACACTGACTTGATTAACTTATCCTTATAACAGATCTCAAAATCACGTTATGTTCAGTTCGCGTACTTTGCATTTTTTCAAAGATGTTTTGATTATTCTAGATCATTTACATTTAGATATAAATTTTATACTTAGTTTGTTAATTTTCTTTTCTTTTAATTTTATTATTATTTTGATACTTTAAGTTTTAGGGTACATGTGCACAACGTGCAGGTTTGTTACATATGTATATATGTGCCATGTTGGTGTGTTGCTCCCTTTAACTCATCATTTAACATTAGGTATATCTCCTAATGCTATCCCTCCCCGCTCCCCCTACCCTACAGCAGTCCCCTGTGTGTGATGTTCCTCTTCCCGTGTCCATGTGTATTCATTGTTCAATTCCCACCTATAAATGAGAACATGCGGTGTTTTGTTTTTTGTCCTTGCAATAGTTTGCTGAGAATAATGGTTTCCATCTTCATCCATGTCCCTACAAAGGATGTGAACTCATCATTTTTTATGGCTGCATAGTATTCCATGGTGTATATGTGCCACATTTTCTTAATCCAGTCTATCATTGTTGGACATTTGGGTTGGTTCCAAGTCTTTGCTATTGTGAATAGTGCCGCAATAAACATACGTGTGCATGTGTCTTTATAGCAGCATGATTTATAATCCTTTGGGTGTATACCCAGTAATGGGATGGCTGGGTCAAATGGTATTTCTAGTTCCAGATCCCTGAGGAATCGCCACACTGACTTCCACAATGGTTGAACTAGTTTACAGTCCAACAAACAGTGTAAAAGTGTTCCTATTTCTCCACATCCTCTCCAGCACCTGTCGTTTCGTGACTTTTTAATGATCGCCATTCTAACTGGTGTTAGATGGTATCTGATTGCGGTTTTGATTTGCGTTTCTCTGATGGCCGGTGATGATGAGCATTTTTTCATGTCTTTTTTGGCTGCATAAATGTCTTCTTTTGAGAAGTGTCTGTTCATATCCTTCACCCACTTGTTGATGGGGTTGTTTTTTTCTTGTAAATTTGTTTGAGTTCATTGTAGATTCTGGATATTAGCCCTTTGTCAGATGAGTAGGTTGTGAAAATTTTCTCCCATTCTGTAGGTGTGCAGAGGGAAATTTATAGCACTAAATACCCACAAGAGAAAGCAGAAAAGATCTAAAATTGACACCCTAACATCACAATTAAAAGAACTAGAGAAGCAAGAGCAAACACATTCAAAAGCTAGCAGAAGGCAAGAAATAACTAAGATCAGAGCAGAACTGAAGGAACTAGAGACACAAAAAACCCTTCAAAAAATCAATGAATCCAGGAGCTGGTTTTTTGAAAAGATCAACAAAATTGATAGACCGCTAGCAATACTAATAAAGAAGAAAAGAGAGAAGAATCAAATAGCTGTAATAAAAAATCATAAAGGGGATATCACCACCGATCCCACAGAAATACAAACTACCATCAGAGAATACTACAAACACCTCTATGCAAATAAACTAGAAAATCTAGAAGAAATGGATAAATTCCTCGACACATACACCCTCCCAAGACTAAACCAGAAAGAAGTTGAATCTGAATAGACCAATAACAGGCTCTGAAATTGAGGCAATAATTAATAGCTTACCAACCAAAAAAAGTCCAGGACCAGATGGATTCACAGTTTGTTAATTTTCTTAAGAACCTGATAGTTTTGCTTAGAGTTGCACTGAATATATAGCTAAATTGGGAGAAAATGATTTCTTAACTATATCCAGTCTTCTGATCCAAGACCACAATATATGTCTCTATTTATGTAGGGTTTCTTTGATTTCTCTAAGCAATGCTTTATAGTTTTATGAGTCCTTGAAATACTCTGATTCATAACATTTTTAAACTTTTTTTTGTTGTGGTAAAATATTCATACCATAAAATTTACCATCTTAACTATTTTTTAGTTTAAAGTTCACCGTGAGTAAATACATTCATAATGTTGTGCAGGCATCACTCCTGCCTAGCTCCAGAACTCTTTTTCCTCTTATAAAATGAGAATTCTGTATCCATTATACAAAAACCCCTTATCCTCCTCTTCTCGTAGCCCCCGTAACTGCCATTGACTCCTAATACTTTATCTCAAAGTGTGTTATGTTTTAATGCTAATATAAATACATGTTTTTAAATGTCCAATTGTAATTACTAGCTTTTAAAGCTTCGATTCTATTTTGTAAAGATTCAGTTGATGTGTTCTCTTCTTAGCTCCCAATCTGCTTGGGATCAGGGGACCCTTTTCAATTCCCTGACCTCATTATTCAATGTCCACCAGTGTTGTGAATGAATAGCTACCTGATCAATTTAATCTTTCATTACCCAAGAATTTTTAGATACCCTGGAGTTTGGGAAGATTAGTAACTTTATCTTGTTTCCTCTTCACCACATATGGTAAGGGAGCGTTACTGCCTGGCCTGTCTTCATAGGTAACATCCATAGCCTTGGAAGACTTAAAGTTATCATCGGGACAAAGTAAGTTTCCAGTACTCTACTTATTACAAGTTTACAGAAGGAAAACATTTAAAAGCAATTTAACTCTTATTCCATGATTTATACTAAAATATTTATTCAAGATTTTCATAGAAAAACATCAAGTCTTGTCACAGAAAAACATTAAGCATGAGTTTCTGACGAATCCATTTTAACAAAAGACGTGTCTGGAATATTCGCTAGTACCATAAAGTAAGAAATTGCTCAAAATACCAAAAGGTAGAAACCTGTTCAATAAAATTATGAAAACCATTGAAAAGAGCTTCCAATTGCCGAAATTAATTTGAGCAACAAATTAAGTAACAAAAACATTGGGTTCTAATTCATAGAATAAAATTAATTGTCATGGAACTCTGATATAAGTAAGTAATGTAATAATTACTAGAATAAATTTTTCAGGAATTAGGGAAATAGAAATCACCATTGGAATACAACAGTAGTAAGTGTCATAAGCAAAATTCACTGATGGATGCTAAAATTGTTAGGTGAATGTTTGAACAGAAACAGTGTATTTATTTTTTTTTAATTTATTATTATTAAACTTTAAGTTTTAGGTTACATGTGCACAATGTGCAGGTTAGTTACACATGTATACATGTGCCAAGCGGGTGTGCTGCACCCACTAACTCGTCATCTAGCATTAGGAATATCTCCCAATGCTATCCCTCCCCGCTCTCCCCACCCCATGACAGTCCCCAGAGTGTGATGTTCCCCTTTCTGTGTCCATGTGTTCTCATTGTTCAATTCCCACCTACGAGTGAGAATATGTGGTGTTTGGTTTTTTGCTCTTGCGATAGTTTGCTGAGAATGATGATTTCCAATTTCATCCATGTCCCTACAAAGGACGTGAACTCATCATTTTTTTATGGCTGCATAGTATTACATGGTGTATATGTGCCACATTTTCTTAATCCAGTCTATCATTGTTGGACATTTGGGTTGGTTGCAAGTCTTTGCTATTGTGAGTAATGCCACAATAAACATATGTGTGCATGTGTCTTTATAGCAGCATGATTTATTATCCTTTGGGTATATACCCAGTAATGGGATGGCTGGGTCAAATGGTATTTCTAGTTCTAGATCCCTGAGGAATCGCCACACTGACTTCCACAATGGTTGAACTAGTTTACAGTCCCAGCAACAGTGTCAAAGTGTTCCTATTTCTCCACATCCTCTCCAGCACCTGTCGTTTCCTGACTTTTTAATGATTGCCATTCTAACTGGTGTGAGATGGTATCTCACTGTGGTTTTGATTTGCATTTCTCTGATGGCCAGTGATGGTGAGCATTTTTCCATGTGTTTTTTGGCTGTATAAATGTCTTCTTTTGAGAGGTGTCTGTTCATGTCCTTCACCCACTTTTTGATGGGGTGTTTGTTTTTTTCTTGTAAATTTGTTTGAGTTCATTGTAGATTCTGGATATTAGCCCTTTGTCAGATGAGTAGGTTGCAAAAATTTTCTCCCATTCTGTAGGTTGCCTGTTCACTCTGATGGTAGTTTCTTTTGCTGTACAGAAGCTCTTTAGTTTAATTAGATCCCATTTGTCAATTTTGGCTTTTGTTGCCATTGCTTTTGGTGTTTTAGACATGAAGTCCTTGCCCATGCCTATGTCCTGAATGGTAATGCCTAGGTTTTCTTCCAGGGTTTTTATGGTTTTAGGTCTAACGTTTAAGTCTTTAATCCATCTTGAGTTGATTTTTGTATAATGTGTAAGGAAGGGATCCAGTTTCAGCTTTCTACATATGGCTAGCCAGTTTTCCCAGCACCATTTATTAAATAGGGAATCCTTTCCCCATTGCTTGTTATTCTCAGGTTTGTCAAAGATCAGATAGTTGTAGATATGTGGCTTTATTTCTGAGAGCTCTGTTCTGTTCCATTGATCTATATCTCTGTTTTGGTAGCAGTACCATGCTGTTTTGGTTACTGTAGCCTTGTAGTATAGTTTGAAGTCAGGTAGTGTGATGCCTCCAGCTTTGTTCTTTTGGCTTAGGATTGACTTGGCGATGCGGGCTCTTTTTTGGTTCCATATGAACTATAAAGTAGTTTTTTCCAATTCTGTGAAGAAAGTCATTGGTAGCTTGATGGCGATGGCATTGAATCTGTAAATTACCTTGGGCGGTATGGCCATTTTCACGATATTGATTCTTCCTACCCATGAGCATGGAATGTTCTTCCATTTGTTTGTATCCTCTTTTATTTCCTTGAGCAGTGGTTTGTAGTTCTCCTTGAAGAGGTCCTTCACATCCCTTGTAAGTTGGATTCCTAGATATTTTATTCTCTTTGAAGCGATTGTGAATGGGAGTTCACTCATGATTTGGCTCTCTGTTTGTCTGTTATTGGTGTATAAGAATGCTTGTGTTTTTTGTACATTGATTTTGTATCCTGAGACTTTGCTGAAGTTGCTTATTAGCTTAAGGAGATTTTGGGCTGAGACAGTGGGGTTTTCTGGATATACAATCATGTCGTCTGCAAACAGGGACAATTTGACTTCCTCTTTTCCTAATTGAATACCTTTTATTTCCTTCTCCTGCGTAACTGCCCTGGCCAGAACTTCCAGCACTATGTTGAATAGGAGTGGTGAGAGAGGGCATCCCTGTCTTGTGTCAGTTTTCAAAGGGAATGCTTCCAGTTTTTGCCCATTCAGTATGATATTGGCTGTGGGTTTGTCATAGATAGCTCTTATTATTTTGAGATACGTCCCATCAATACCTAATTTAATGAGAGTTTTTAGCATGAAGTGTTGTTGAATTTTGTCAAAGGCCTTTTCTGCTTCTATTGAGATAATCATGTGGTTTTTGTCTTTGGTTCTGTTTATATGCTGGATTACATTTATTGATTTGCGTATATTGAACCAGCCTTGCATCCCAGGGATGAAGCCCACTTGATCATGGTGGATAAACTTTTTGATGTGCTCCTGGATTCGGTTTGCCAGTATTGTATTGAGGATTTTTGCATCAATGTTCATCAAGGATATTGGTCTAAAATTCTCTTTTTTGGCTGTGTCTCTGCCCAGCCTTGGTATCAGGATGATGCTGGCCTCATAAAATGAGTTAGGGAGGATTCCCTCTTTTTCTATTGATTGGAATAGTTTCAGAAGGAATGGTACCACTTCCTCCTTGTACCTCTGGTAGAGTTAGGCTATGAATCCATCTGGTCCTGGGCTCTTTTTGGTTGGTAAGCTATTGATTATTTCCACAATTTCAGAGCCTGTTATTGGTCTATTCAGAGATTCAACTTCTTCCTGGTTTAGTTTTGGGAGAGTGTATGCGTTAAGGAATTTATCCATTTCTTGTAGATTTTCTAGTTTATTTGCATAGAGGTGTTTGTAGTATTCTTTGATGCTAGTTTGTATTTCTGTGGGATTGGTGGTGATACCCTCTTTATCATTTTTTATTGCGTCTATTTGATTCTTCTGTCTTTTTATTAGTCTTGCTAGCGGTGTATCAATTTTGTTGATCCTTTCAAAAAACCAGCTCCTAGATTCATTAATTTTTTGAAGGGTTTTTTGTGTCTCTATTTCCTTCAGTTCTGCTCTGATTTTAGTTATTTCTTGCCTTCTGCTAGCTTTTGAATGTGTTTGCTCTTGCTTTTCTAGTTCTTTTAATTGTGATGTTAAGGTGTCAATTTTGGATCTTTCCTGCTTTCTCTTGTGGGCATTTAGTGCTATAAATTTCCCTCTACACACTGCTTTCAATGCGTCCCAGAGATTGTGGTATGTTGTGTCTTTGTTCTCGTTGGTTTCAAAGAACATCTTTATTTCTGCCTTCATTTCGTTATGTACCCAGTATTCATTCAGGAGCAGGCTCATCAGTTTCCATGTAGTTGAGTGGTTTTGAGTGAGATTCTTAATCCTGAGTTCTAGTTTGATTGCACTGTGGTCTGAGAGATAGTTTGTTATAATTTCTGTTCTTTTACATTTGCTGAGGAGAGCTTTACTTCCATGTATGTGGTCAATTTTGGAATAGGTGTGGTGTGGTGCTGAAAAAAATGTATATACTGTTGATTTGGGGTGGAGGAAATACAGAGAATGCCACAAAGATACTCCTCGAGAAGAGCAACTCCAAGACACATAATTGTCAGATTTACCAAAGTTGAAATGAAGGAAAAAATGTTAAGCACAGCCAGAGAGAAAGGTTGGGTTACCCACAAAGGGAAGCCCATCAGACTAACATTGGATCTCTAGGCAGAAACTCTACAAGCCAGAAGAGAGTGGGGGCCAATATTCAACATTCTTAAAGAAAAGAATTTTCAACCCGGAATTTCATATTCTTCCAAACTAAGCTTCATAAGTGAAGGAGAAATAAAATCCTCTACAGACAAGCAAATGCTGAGAGATTTTGTCACCACCAGGCCTGCCCTAAAAGAGCTCCTGAAGGAAGCGCTAAACATGGAAAGGAACAACTGATACCAGCCGCTGCAAAATCATGCCAAAATGTAAAGACCATAGAGGCTAGGAAGAAACTGCATGAACTAACGAGCAAAATAACCAGCTAACATCATAATGAGAGGATCAAATTCACACATAACAATATTAATGTTAAATGTCAATGGACTAAATGCTCCAATTAAAAGACACAGACTGGCAAATTGGATAAAGAGTCAAGACCCATCAGTGTGCTGTATTCAGGAAACCCATCTCACATGCAGAAACACACATAGGCTCAAAATAAAAGGATGGAGAAAGATCTTCCAAGCAAATGGAAAACAAAGAAAGGCAGGGGTTGCAATGCTAGTCTGTGATAAAACAGACTTTAAACCAACAAAGAACAAAAGAGACAAAGAAGGCCATTACCTAATGGTAAAGGGATCAATTCAACAAGAAGAGCTAACTATCCTAAATACATATGCATCCAATACAGGAGCACCCAGATTCATAAAGCAAGTCCTGAGTGGCCTACAAAGAGACTTAGACTCCCACACATTAATAATGGGAGACTTTAACTCCCCACTATCAATATTGGACAGATCAACGAGACAGAAAGTCAACAAGGATACCCAGGAATTGAACTCAGCTCTGCACCAAGCAGACCTAATAGACATCTACAGAAACAGTGTATTTAAATAATCAAAAGTATCTCTTCCAAAATATTTATTAATCGCAAAAGGAAAATAATAATTTTACAATGGAGAAATCTAGAAACACCATCTTAACCAAGAAAATAATTTTATTACCAGTAATAAAAACATATTTATCTTTTGCACCCTGAGATAATACACCAAGAAGAGTACCTCCATGCTGTAATAGCCTTGTCAAAAACATATAACCACAACTGAACCATTAGTCACCATCAGGTTAACCCAAACTAAGGAGCATTCTACAGAATAACTGACCAATACTACTCTTCAAAATGTCAGGCCATGTAACATCTCCTACCTGCTGCCCTACCGCCTTCCACACAAGCAAACAAACAGAAAGAATGAAAGAAACAATCAAACAAAGAAAAAAGATGTCCTGGATTGGAGAAGACTTAGGGAGAGAAATGACAAAAGCTCAAAAATATAACGTGGGGTCCTAAATTGGATCCTGGAACAGGAAAAGGAGATTAGAGGAAAAACTGGTGAAATCTGAATAAATTGTACCTATGATGATTTCTTAGTATTTGATAATTTTTCTATGCCTATGTAAGATGTTTACCATTAGCAAAGTTAAGTGAGGGCATGGGTGAACTCTGTATTCCTTTTGATAACTCTGTAATTCTAAACTTATTTCAAAATAAAAAATAAAAATGGAGTCAATCACAGACATGTATATTCTAAATCAAACAGTTCTGCTTTGTTTGCAAGATATTATTGGGATAAAAACATTTTTCTCTCATTTTTGGCCTCAGAAAAAAATATTTTTATTCCATTAGTTCTTAATGGATCTATATTTCTTGAAGAAGCATCAGAGTCATTACATGTTTTTGCAAAATTATTTTGTATCTCAAAAGAAAAAAAAAATTTTCATTTTTACAACAAATGGAATGTTCAACTCACAACCAGTACTCGAATCATTGGTACCTTCTTCTTCATCCTGAAAAATCCATAAATCCATCTCACTATAAACATAAGATAGTGCGTCTCCTAATCCAACTGATGACACCAAGTTTATGAACTTCAGGATCAATAAGAGCCTGTTTTTCCAGCTAGTCATATACAAACATATGGTAAAATTTGGAACTCTACCAAATCTCTGGGAAATCATGTCTAGCTTCTTATGTCAGCTAAGCTATTTTTTCTCAGCAAAGAATAAGAGGAATATTTTGAAAATCACGAAGAATGTCAGCGTACCAAGAGAATGCCTGAAATAATCAACAATTTCTCTGGTTTTTACAGGTTGCTTGATAGTAATAGTTACAGAAGAGTTCTGGGAAACCGCAGAAAAGATCTGATAACTGAGTCAGCCTCTAACTGTTTATAAAATTCTGCAATATTTGGACAACTTAAGTAGATTTTTTAGAGTTGAAAAGGCAGACATTGGACAATTACATGATCAGTTATCCTTTTTTTCTTGAATATTCATCTTCTCCATCTCAGTTCTATTTTTCTCATGAGCTTTTAAAGCTGATCAGGTGTCTCCAATTATTCTTCAAAGAACTCAACTCTCTTGATCTTCTCTGTCTTCTCTCAGCTACAATCCTTATACCTTTTTTCCTTTATAGCCACGTTTCCCCTGGAGTAAATTCCCTTGAGTTCCACACCTTTCCCTCAACTCCAGTCCTCGTAGTCTGGTTCCTGTTTACTGTCTTTGAAGATTATATATTTTCTCTACCTAAGAAGCTTCTGTGGACAACGCCCAGTTGTTATTCTATATGACTGTCCAGCAGCAATCACCACCATTACCTCCTTCCTCTCTAGCCACTCCTTTTATTCCCAGTTGAAATTTACCCTGTCAGTCGGTCATTAAGTAATGGGTCCTTTTAAGGCCTGTCCAAACTCCCCTTCTAAATGCTGTCCACGTCTCTCTTGGCAAACTCCCGAGTACCCATGGCTGGAATTATATCACCTAGATACAAAATACTCAAAGTATTTATTTATTAATTAATTAATTCTATGCTGAATGCGTGGCATGTGCCAGGCAAGATTCTAGATGTCAGGAAAGCAAATCAAATGCAATCCTAGCCCTCACTGAACCTCCCCTCTTGACAACTTCAGACTCATGTAACAATCTGTTATCCTCAAATCTTCATTCAAATATCTCAAGATGGCTCACCTTCTACCCAGTGATGTCTCTCAAACTTATGCCTTCAATCCATATAGTATGCTAGTAGAAAACTAGCATACAACTCCTAATGTGTGGCTGTGAATCCATGCATGCGAGGGTGTACAAAGCCCTAAGTGTTCTAGCCCAGCCAGCTACATCCATTTTCTTTCTTTCTTTTCTCTTTTTTTTCTTTTCTTTTCTTTTTTCTTTTTTCTCTTCTTTTCCTTCCTTCCTTCCTTCCTTTCTCTTTCTTTCTCCCTTTCTTTCTTCCTTCCTTCCTTCCTTCCTTCTCTTTCTTTCTTCCTTCCTTCTTTCTTTCTTTTTTTTTTTTTTTGGATGAAGTTTCACTCTTATGGCCCAGGCTGGAGTGCAATGGTGTGATCTTGGCTCACTGCATCTTCCGTCTCCCAGGTTCAAGCGATTCTCCTGTCTCAGCCTCTCAAGTAGCTGGGATTACAGGTGTTTGCCACCACATCCGTTTAATTTTTTGTGTGTTATTATTAGAGACAGGGTTTCGCCATGTTGGCCAGGCTGGTCTTGAACTCCTGAGCTCAGGTGATCCGCCCGCTTTGGCCTCCCAAAGTGCTGGGATTACAAGCATGAGCCGCCGCGCCAAGCCGGCTTCGTCCATTCTTCTCTCAAACCATGTTTTCTCACTTTATCTGCACAAGCCATGGTGGCTTGCTTTCTGTTCTGAAAAGAGGTCACCTACTCTTCTGTTTTAAAGCATTGAAATGAGTAATTTTCTCTCCCTAGTACAATTCTTAATCATAGTAACTTTGAAGGAACCTTATTAAATTCCTGGATTAGATCAAATCCCTCTATATAACACTGTTATTATCAAATACATCGTTCCTTCACCCAAAGTGGCAAAGTTGTAGTTTTACTTATTTTTGGATGCTTCCACAATCTGATTAATGGCTACCTTTCCTTCTGATAACTCAGTTTCAAGATGGCAGTAATAATGTCTTTGTTCATCATTATATCAACATTTTTAATACTATGCCTAGTTCATAGTAAGACCTAAGTAAATTGTTGTTGCTTAAAAAAAGATAGGTGAATGAATAAAGTGATTATTATTATTATTAATTTCAAATTAAGCCTCTAGAGTTTATCTCTTTCAAAATATCTCTAACTTTTGCCTTAGGTGATATTAAAATAAAATATTACATATTAATAATTTTGCTCCTGTGAATGTAAGATCTAAAAAATTGGATTCAATTAGATTTACCACCGAGTTTCTGCAGGTGGTAAGAAAGGCTGTTGAAAGAACTACACAGTGGAATATTGCTTAGCCTTTAAGAAGCAGGAAACTCTGCCATTTGCAGCAGCATGGCTGAACCTAGAGGACATTCTGCCAAGTAAAATAAGCCAGGCACAGAAAGACATATACCACACAATATCACTTCTGTGTGAAATCTAAAAAAGTCAAGTTAGTGGAAGTAGAGAGTAGAATGGTGGCTATTATAGGCAGGAGGAGAGGGGAAGAGAATTGCGGGGGGGAGAGGGAGATATTGGTCAAAGGGTATAGAGAATCAGTGAGAAAGGAGGAACAGGTCCTGGTGACCTGTAGCATGGCATGTTGACTACAGTTTGTGTCTTGTATATGTTAAAATAGCAAAAAGAGTGGATTTCAGGTGTTCTCACAACAAAGACATAAGAAACATGTGAGGTGGTGGAA
This sequence comes from Homo sapiens, assembly GCF_000001405.40. Classification (NCBI taxonomy): domain Eukaryota; kingdom Metazoa; phylum Chordata; class Mammalia; order Primates; family Hominidae; genus Homo; species Homo sapiens. The sequence continues at coordinate 5,469,183 of NC_000008.11, forward strand.
ATGTTAATTACCCTGATTTGATCATTTTATGATGTATATGTATGTGTACTGAAACATCACAGTGTACCTCATAAATATATACAATTATTATTTGTCAATTTAAAATAAAATAAAGCTTAAAAAGAGCAATTACTGGCCGAGCACGGTGGCTCACGCCTGTAATCCCAGCACTTTGGGAGGCCGAGACGGGCGGATCACGAGATGAGGAGATCGAGACCATCCTGGCCTGACCACAATAACATGGTGAAACCCCGTCTCTACTAAAAAATACAAAAAATTAGCCAGGCATGGTGGCGGGTGCCTGTAGTCCCAGCTACTTGGGAGGCTGAGGCAGGAGAATGGCGTGAACCCGGGCGGAGCTTGCAGTGAACCGAGATCATGCCACTGCACTCCAGCCTGGGCGACAGAGCGAGACTCCGTTTCAAAAAAAAAAAAAAAAAAAAAGAGGAATTACTAAGGTCATCAGCATGCAGCAGGTGGAATAGCTGAACTCAGCCTGTGGTGTTGACATCCTCATAGACATTAACGCATCACAGATTTTGTTCTGTCCCATTCAAATGTGTTGAACCCCTTAGAGGTCAGCTGCAGGCAGTAAGGAAAAGAGCAAATGTAAAACTGGAGAAAAATGCAGTATATCAGAAATTAATATGTCCTGTTTAATCATTAAGAGGAAAGGAATGGAATAAAACTTTCAGAGTATCAGACATGAAAATACTATATATTTTATATTTTACTGGGAATAATTATTTAAAAAGCTACTTTTATTAATCATAAATTTGCCCAAACTTAATGTTTGTGGGAAAAAGATATTTAGTATTCTTTATGCCTCATTTTAATATTATGTATCCTTCTAAGTCATTCTGGCTTATTTTGTACATAAATAGTCAATTAGCAGGACTTTTCAAATAAATATACCTTAATTGTGTTCTCTATACAGGAATTTTTAAGTAAATCAATGAATATAATAATGAATAAAAGAGTTTTAAAAAGTTTGGATGCTTTTATTAAAGGTAAGACCTTAATGTAAAACACAATAGCCCAAATAAACAGAGATCCATTAGTCAAGTTATGACAGTTAGTGAGATATTTTGGCTCAGAAACTGTATCGATGACTTTCAATTTCATTACTTAATGGTGAAATGTCTGCTGGTTTGGTGAAGAGGATCAATAATATCTTATTTCAGTGTTGCCTAATAATGTTGTAATTTTCTTACAAAAGCATTTTCATTAGGAATTAAAAAAACAACTAAATGGATTCAACAAAATGGAAATAGGAAAGGGATACCAGAACAGAGGAATAATTAACCTTTTAAAGAACTATGTCATTATGTTAAAATCAAAGTCAGTGAAAATTCAAGACACTAATAGTTTTAAGGTCCTGTGAGAAATTGTAACGTTGAATAAATATGTAACAATAGCTTGCTTGACCGATATGGGTAAGGGTTTGTGCACTGAGACCACAAGAGGTGAGGAGAGTATTTTGGGACAGCCATTCCTTACTTCATTTCATATGTCTTTTTTTTTTTAAATTTTATTATTATTATACTTTAAGTTTTAGGGTACATGTGCATAACGTGCAGGTTTGTTTCATATGTATACATGTGCCATGTTGGTGTGCTGCACCCATTAACTCGTCATTTAGCATTAGGTGTATCTCCTAATGCTGTCCCTCTCCCCTCCCCCCACCCCACAACAGTTCCTGGAGTGTGATGTTCCCCTTCCTGTGTGTATGTGTTCTCATTGTTCAATTCCCACCTATGAGTGAGAACTTGCGGTGTTTGGTTTTTTGTCCTTGCGATAGTGTGCTGAGAATAATGATGAACTGGAAATCATCATATGTCTTTTTATAAAAGACTGAACTCTTGAGGTATGGTTGTCTCATTTGTATTTGACAGCTTCATAGACATTCAGATTTTCCAGAAGAAATACTGAAAGAAAAACTGGGAAAAATATTTCAATACTGGGAAGAAACTCATGCCCAACAAAATAACAACTACATTGAAAACAATTTTTGTTGTAGCCAAATGAATCTAGACTTGCTTTCTTTTTCTACTTACACATAAGCTATGTCGCAAATTGCTTTGAATGCTGTTTATTCACCATTTTGTAACTATAGATAGCTAACTAAGCCTACTCTGTTTTAAGGATTGACGTGATGTCTGGAAGTAGTGCAAGTTTCCACAAATAGTTCAGATATATTGGTGTCATTTAGTAAACAATGCCAACCAATCATCACTGCCTTTGATAACCATGAATTGCTTACCACACATCATATATTTGGTGTGAGATATGCTTTTGGCCAGATCCAACACATAACATTTCTAAGTGATCAATGTGATCAGGATCAAACAAAAAGAAGCTGTTTCAGTCTTCAAACTTCTCCTTTTTATACTCTGGAGTCTATATGAAATTTTCAAGGAAACCATGTCCCATAAATTTATAAATTTTAGGTTTGCCTCCCATATACAACCCTAGATAGATCAAGAACATCTTGATACAAGCATTCTGTAAATATGTACTTTGCTCTTAGAAAAGGTGTTAGTGTACTTCCTTGTAGCTATGTCATTTGTATATCCTGGTAAGGGGTTCTGATGAGGTTACTTTTCTTGTTTTCCGCACTTCAACCAAGTAAACGAATAGAAAATATTTCAGGCTTACTAACTTTTCCTTTCCCAATATGGTATAATGTACTACTGACTAATTAGAGTAGTTTTCATTTTTATGCATTTAAGTTTCATGGAAAAACATATTCTAAGGAAGTAAAAAAAATGTGTTACATAATGACTATAGTATCCCAGGAGCCTGCTCCATAAATTATAGCTAAATATATTAAGCAGAGACGCTTGAATGTCATAGTATTATGACTGAAGATGATGTGATTCAAAGCATACCATTTTATGTAATTGCTTCTGTGGTCACTTTAATTTCAGAATAATTTGTCCATGATGAAATAGATAACATATATCTCATATATTCTCTTCCCAAGGAGGTGGTTCATATTACTTGTTTAGACAGAGAAACTGCTTATATTTAGTGAATTTAGTGGATCATTATAAAAAAATCATTTTCTAGAGAAGTACAGTTCGATGCTCTAGTTCAGAGATACCCAACCCCCAGAACATGGACTATGGGTCCATGGCAGGAGGTGAGTGGCAAGCAAATGAGCAAAGCTTCATCTGTATTTACAGCCACTCCCCATTGCTCACATTACCACCTGATCTCAGTCTCCTGTCAGATCAGTGGCAGCATTAGATTCTCACTTATAGAAACAGAAACCCTACTGTGAACTGTGCATGTGAGTGATGTAGGTTGTGCATTCCTATGAGAATCGAAGGCCTGACTGTCACTCTCTCCTATCAACCCCAGATGGGACCATTTAGTTGCAGGAAAACAAGCTCAGGGTTCCCATCAATTCGACATCGTGGTGAGTTGTATAATTATTTTATTATATATTACAATGTAATAATAATAGAAATAAAGTGCACAATAAATGTAATGCACTGGAATCATCCTGAAACCCTCTCACTCCCTGGTCCGTGGAAAAATTGTCTTCTACGAAGCTAGTCCCTGATGCCAAAATGGTTGGGAACCATGTTCTAGTTACTGAAATTTTTCAGAAATAATTTAAGGTACCTTGATATGGTAGACTGTGACTTAGATGACTGTTTATGCCTGTTAAATATCACCATTTTGTTTCGTCCCCTTTCTTAAAAATGTAAAAGTTAAAATTTATTATTATTATTATTATTATTATTATTATTATTATTATTATTATTATATGACATGGAGTCTCGCTCTGTCTCACCCAGGCTGGAGTGTAGTGGTGCGATCTCGGCTCACTGTAGCTTCCACCTCCCGGGTTCAAGCAATTCTCCTACCTCAGCCTCCCAAATAGCTGGGATTACAGGCACACAGCACCATACTCGGCTCATTTTGTATTTTTAGTAGAGATGGGGTTTTGCCATGTTGGCCTGGCTGGTCTCCAACTCCTGACCTCAGCTAACTCATCCACCTTGGCCTCCCAAAGTGCTGGGATTAGAGGTGTGAGACACCGTGCCCAGTGTAAAAATTTTATTTGTCCTGAAAAATTCAAGTTCGGACTGATAATCTATGGTGCCCCCACAGGATGTTAAGACAGCTTCAACTACAAGAAGGAAACTTAAAGTCAATTAAAATAGTGTCTGCACCAGTTGTCAGGGGACTGAGAACCTCTCAGTCACATCTCCCCTTTTGTGTCCTGCTTGTGTCTCCTTTCCCAGTGGCAAGCCCTGGAGGACGCTGCAGGTGACGGACACTTCACTAAGCTCCCCAGGTACATTTGTGTGGCTTCCACCAAGGCATAGCCAGTGACACTCACTTTTCAACTTGCCAGTTCTTTCCCAGAGTTGTGACTTCCTCTGAAGATGTGAGCTCTGTCTGCTTGCCAATCTCAGCCAGCCTATATCTTGGCATAGGGTTTCGTCCTTGCCCCTCTAGCCCATTGGTTTGATATAACCAGCCTCAGTCCACCTGTACTCCGAGGGAAGGCTTCCAGCTTACCAGGCCTGCCTGCCAGCTCATGTCAGCTTAAGGGGAACCCAGGGAGGGATGCCTGGGGAAGTCTTGGGAAATCCAGTGAGCTTTCTGCAATCTGTGGTCTTCAAATACACCTTCCCCAGTGAGGCATGAATCCCAGCATGGCGGGAAGTGCCTTCCAAGTTTGTTTCATACTTGGATATTCCTCTCAGTCCTAAGGCATTTTTTTTGGTGTTCTGTCCTATCTTTTCTCAGTATTTAATCCCCTGTATATAGTTAATAATGTTTATATTAAAACTTTTCTCTTTTAATTACTGTGTAGCTTCAATTCCTGACTACCCCAATTCACGCATTCCCTATAATGTAAAAATTTTTAGTATCTTTCAGGTTAAAATAATAGCTACGGTTATTACAAAGATAATTCGAAGAGAAAAATAATGCTTGTCTACTGTCTGCATGATCTGTGACATATTATGTTCATATTAGGGATCCTGAATCATTTAAGAGCAAAAATAAATTAGACAATAGGATACATAATAACTTTTTGAAGGATTTAACTACAAAACACTATAAATAATCACTGCAAGTAACACTTCATGTCTTGGGGAAATTCACTTATGTAAAGCATCTCAATCATTCAGTGTCAGGTCTATAACTATAAATTTTATCAAATGTCAATACTTCTACCTATGTACTGGGTTAAATTCTTTCTTGCCTACTCATTTCATTCATTCAGCATTTTTTTATTCTTATCTCTTATTGTTATTCCTCTGTCCTTAGTAGATTATTTCCGTTGACAATCTCACGTGCAGTAATATACCCTATCTTACCAAATATTTAAGTTAGTTGTAAAAGCTGTTCTTGGGCTCCACGTGTTTCTCTGTTCCTCACTCAATTTCTTTGCTCTCCATTAAAAAAAAAAATCTGTAAAATAGTGTCAATAGTCATGGCCTGAATCTCCACTTATCCCCACCTCTTCTCTCTTATATTTACACCTGTGGGACTCTCATTTCTCACTTACCCCTCCCTAGGTTGTCAGCACTCTCCACGTTGCCAGAGGTAAAGGACAATTCTCAGAGTTCTTCATGGTAACCTTTTAAGTGTCCTTCACACAGTTCATACTCCCTCCTTTTTGAAATGCTTTATTTTTGGCCTGCAGAATACAATATTAAAAATGTATAATTTTTTTCCTTCCCCACTCTCCACTCCTACTCAGCCTACTAACAGAAATCTTCACCAACCATTACATGTTGGGATACCCAAGATTTAGATGTGGGGCTTCTGTTCTCTTCTCCATTTACTCACAGGGTAAATACACTTTGTTCTATGACATCTAAGCATTCTTATATTTTTGTTTTTAGTCTTGAACTCTCCTAGGAACTTCAGTCTCATATTACTCTCTTCTTAAACATGTCTACTTGGAGGGTCCCCGTGGAGGTCTAAAGGTATCTATTCATGCATCTGGAGGGATCACATCTGATATCAACACAGTGGGAAAGAATAAACTAAGCCAGGAAGCATTTATGATCCTTTGGATTGTCTTCTCTTTCATGAAAAGAAAGCTCCTTTCGAAAGGCATTCTGCACACGTCAAGCATCTGAAACTACAATTGAACATCTGCCTTTATGGAATATCTAATAGTTTGACTATCATTTCATTGGGCTTTATGATTTACATAAAACCCTATTGTGGATAATGCAATAATCTTAGCTTCTCTGAACTGAAATGTTGATTGATCAATTGCCTGTGGGAAACTTTGGGTATTAGAAGAAAGCTTGTGGTGTTGGAGAGTGTGGCTGCTTGGTGACTCAGGAACAACAGAGTAAACGCCTGTTTACTCATGTCTGTGACATTTACCGCTCAACTTCTGAATTCCTGAAAGAGAAAGAGAGAAAAGACAAATAGGAAAAAGAGAGAGAGATTAAGTCTAATTTAAAGTCCGCCCTTGTGAACTTTTCTATTCCTATTTGTTGTCCCTACCCACCTCCTGTTACACTGTCCATCAGGTAAGGGGATCAGAGTAGAATAGCACTCTGGGCGCACGGTGGGAGGCTAAGCAACAACGTCTGGTCATAAACACTGAAACATGAAGTTCTGGCATTTCATAAAAGATGACAAAATCCAGGCTGCAAAATATTTAAGAAACTGTAATGAACCCAGTTTTGGAAATGTCTTGTTAAAAAAATCCCGTAACATTCTCATTCTCACTCTTGCTTATTACATATTGAAAAATCAAGGGGTTATTTAGCACATATTCATTCATTTAACCTTCCTTCATTCACCAGAAGTTTTTTGAGCACCTACTATGTGTAGGGTAATATGCATGCAACCATGTTAAAGATGTTTTTACAAAAAGAATTTTAGAAAGCATATATATAGAGAGAGAGACAGAGAGGGAAAGAGAGAGAGAGAGAGATGGAATCTCACTCTGTCACCCAGGCTGGAGTGCAATGGCAGCATCTTGGCTCACTTCAACCTCAGCCTGCTGGGTTCAAGTCATTCTCCTACCTCAGCCTCCTGAGTAGCTCAGATTACAGGCACCTGCTACCACACCCAGGTAATTTTTTTTTTTAATTTTTAGTAGAGACGGGGTTTGGCCATGTTGGCTAGGCTAGTCTTGAACTCCTGACTTCAGGTGATCCACCCACGTCGGCCTCCCAAAGTGCTGGGATTACAGGCATGAGCTAGCGTGCCTGGCTAAAGCATATATTGTAAATACATAGGAAAATTTCAATTCCCACTTATATAATTCTTGGTCACTGTAAGTGATTGAAATGAATAAAGAAATAAGATATAGGCCCTTTTCACAAGATGGTACTGAAGGCAAAAAGAAATGTTCCTGCCCCTCCTAATGCTTTGAAGGCCAAGGAGGCAGTGCTGAAATGTGTCCACAGTCACACGCAGACACAAAAGAAAATGCACACCTAACGCACATTCCTGTGGTCCAAGACAGCATGATTCCAGAGGCAGCCCAAATGCTCTTGGAAGAGCACCCCCAGGAGCAACAAGCTTGACCACCATGCCATCCTCAGACAGACCACTGAGTCTGTCAGGAAGAAGACAGAAGATGATAACACACTTGCACACTTGCGTTCATTGTGGATGGTCAAGCCAATAAGCACCAGATCAAACCAGCTGTGAAGAAGCTGTATGACATGGACGTGGCCAAGGTCAACACCCTGATCAGGTGTGACAGAGAGAAGAAGGCATATGTTGAACTGCCTCCTGATTACGATGCTTTAGATGTTGCCGGCAAAATTGGGATTATCTAAACTGGGTCTGGCTGGATAATTCTAAATATGTATAGATAAAATCTAGATCTATACATATCTATATATATTTTATATATATACATACATATAAAATATTTTCACCAGAAATAAAGCAGAAATAAGATATAGAAATACTATATATTTTCTGATACTAATTTTTCGAATATGGTCAATATACTAAATATAAACGGTGAGATTTTTGAATAAATATGAAAGCATTCAATGTTCTCATAATATTAAGTGTAAAACCAAACGTTTATTTCTCCTATTAGTGTTGTTCATATGGATAATAAGATATGAAGTTTAGCTTTGCATTCCTCATTTGGTAATCATCCCAATGTAAAGAAAGGGTGTAAGGTTGCTAGTAACTCAGTTTCATGGCTGGCATGCAACTCAACTTCTTCATTATGGTTCACATTCATACTTAGCAAATGGGGCAAAATGTAAATGTACATACTAGAGCCAACCATTAAATTCTACAATGTGATTTTTGCAAAGATCAACAAGGATGGAAACGAAACCCGCTCTTCCCCCCTCACACCCACAGCCACTGCCACCACAGGAGTGCACTGCAAACCAATGCAGTCAGTTACATCCTGGTTAAAAACTATTGAGAGAAAAGGAAATAAGCGCATGTTCTTCTCCACTGTAAATCCCGATGCACTATTCACACCTCATGTGGATTGCACATAGCCCTAATCAAGGTGCTTCTGACACCTACTTTACTTCAAGTGCCCTCTGATACTTCATGTCAAAGCTGGCTTCATTTACCTAATTAACAACTGTATAAAATCATTGAATACTTATGTCAAACCAAACTATCCAAAATTGCCCTTAAATCTTATGATTAAATTCTGGAGCCCACCTTCTGCTGTCTCCACCGTGACTTATTATGTTAAGTATGTGTGCCAACAAAACCTGCCCTGAGGGAGGCCGAAGTGGGCAGATCACCTGAGGTCAGGAGTTCGAGACAGCCCAGCCAACATGGTGAAACCCCATCTCTGCTAAAAATACAAAAATTAGCTGGGGTGGTGGCATGCACCTGTAGTCCCTGCTGCTCAGGAGGCTGAGGTAGGAGAATCACTTGAACCTGGGAGGTGAAGGATGCAGTGAGTGGAGATTGCGCCACTGCACTCCAGCCTGGGCACAGAGTGAGACTGTAGGTGAAAAAACAAAACAAAACAAAACAACATAACACAAAAAAGCAAAACAAAACAAAAACCTACCCAGAGATGCCCTTAGTGCCCTGACATCGCTTGTCCCCTGCACTCCATTCAGATTTGAACAGATGTGCTTCACTTCTCAGATCTAGTGAACTCTGCTGAGGTCCCCACAGACTTGGGACACCATTGTATTAAGGAGAAAAATTTAGAAAGCAATAAAGGAGCTAACTCTCCATTTATATTTTTAATTAATTATTACAGACCCAAAGAGACGTCCAATTGTTGCAGTTGAAGAGAACTTTCTGAATCAAAAGTAAAGCCAGATTCAATTATTTAGGTGGTCCACGGCTGTTGAATTTGTTAAGTGCTAAAAGCATACTTCTTTATGATGACTGACTCAAATAGTTCTTTCTCATACATAAAACAAATTTAATGCGTTTATTCCATTTCTTTATTTTTTTCAGATTTCTTTTCCACTTACCTACACGATAGGACATTTAGAGCCAGTTGTTGAAGTCTAATGGATTGACTGAGATTGTTCCATCTTACTCTTTTTAGAGGCAAATAAAGAGGATCAATCAAACTTCTAATCTTGAATTCTGCATTTGCATAAAGAACTCTGGGGAGTATCGTCCACTTTCAATAGCAGGAGGTATGAACTTATTTTCACAATAATCAGATGACAGGTAAGTTATACTGCCTGCATTTCCAGAGCACTCAAGGATGGTTTTTAAATGCCCATCTTTGAACTCCATTGATTAGCTAATAAAAATTAAGGTTCAGGAATATCAATGCAATCCTTAGTATGAAAACCTACATGAGACCAGCATGTACATGGATGGGAGCTATGAACTTACTAAAAAGAATGAGGAAAGTCTCTCTGGTGCATTGTGACAGGTGCAACTTCATTTCCCTACTTTCTAATTCTTGTTTGTCTTTCAAGTCAAGGGAAGAAATGTGGATTTGGGACTGGAAAGCAGGTTTAAATCTGTTTGACTTCAGATGATTAACCTTAGACCTCAGATACTCAATTTCTGACAAACACATGGTTAATAAACACTTTACAAGAGTTGTTGATGTAATAGTAAGGTGCTTATACGATCACCTTGACATTAATAAAGTCTAATGCAGATGTGTTTGTGTTCGTGTGTGTGTGTGTGTTACGAAGAACACTTTTGAAAGAGAGGTTTCATACTTTGCTCACTGTGGCCCTACAGACCACCAAATGTAATGATGGATGTGGACCACCAAGGCTCCCTGTTTCCTGTTTCCAGCTCCTAATCATTTATCAGCTGTGTCCCCTCTTGAACCCTCGTGAAAAGGCAGAACACGACTGGGAGCAGTGGCTCACGCCTGTAATCCCAGCACTTTGGGAGGCCGATCCTGGCAGATCATGAGGCCAGGAATTTGAGATCAGCCTGCCCAGCATGGTGAAGCCCTGTCTCTACTAAAAATACAAAGAGATTAGCTGGGCATGTTGGCAAGTGCCTGTAATCCTAGCTACTTAGGAGGCTGAGGCAGGAGAATTGCTTGAATTTAGGAGGCAGATGTTGCAGTGAGTTGAGATTGTGCCACTGCACTCTAGTCTGGAAGACAGAGTGAGACTCCGTCTCATAAAAAATTTAAAAAAAAGAAAGAAAAAGAAAGGCAGAATACAGTAATGATGAAGGAGCTAGACACAATATCTTTATTTTGCAGCTGAGTTTAGAGAGAATTAATCACAGTTTTTTGAGACTTAAGTTGACTAGTATGTGCGTAGTACATAGAAAAGTATCTAGCACATAAACACTCAGTACCTGCTAGCTCTTATATCTTCATTGTCAGAATCTCAGTTCACCATCTAATCACTTATCACTATTAGGGATCGTTGTGATAATCTCCTAGCTGGAGTCATTACCATCAGTCTTGGCTTGCAAGACTTCTTAGTGAAATTAACAGTCTTGGATTTATTTTATGCTTTGCTAGACTTAGTCCTTTTGACTGCAGTATGATAAGTATTAGGGTGGTAGTTATGCTTACTCATTCTCTTAGAGTTATACTCTACTTAAATAAATGCATACGTTGAGTATATAGCTCTTCTTTCTAGAAATAATAGCCATTGCTGTCTTCATTCATTTTTCTGTCTGAATTCTTTAGTGCTCAATGTAACAAAACTATGACACTCAGCTGAACTAATACCTGTTAAGTTCTCTTTTTATTATTAACATCAAATAGCATTACTACAAGTGTAAGAATGAAAGATAGTCAAGCTAATGTATCTTACAGAGTAAAAGCTAGGTTTATACTTCATTTTTATCTAACTTTGGTATTTAGGCCAATGTTTTCCGCTTCATTTGCTTTCCCTTGCGTATATAAAAATTAAATTTTGGTTACATTTGGTTCTACAAATAGCACCTTGAAGACATTGCTACATAGCTGCTCATTCTCTGTACCTGGGGAACTCTGGAATCAGTGAATATTAAATAGAAGCTCAGAAATCTAGAGTGAGAAGCATCCTCAGAAACCATTTCATTCAATTCCTTTTTTTTTACACCGGGGATAATCAAGTCCCAGAATGATAACCTCATAGAGCTCTTTTCGAGGCTTCCAAAGAATGCAGCTCCATGATGACTCCTCGCTGGCCCTTCTACCATCCTGTCCACGTCCTGTTTTTACCTGTGGAAGGCATTTGTCAGGAACTCGAGCTCAGTCATTCAAAAGATTGCTAAATGTCACTGTACACAATGTATTATCAGGGCCTTTCGTAGAAACACAATAGTAGCTCTCTTTAATGCATTTGTTATTTTGTTTATATTTTATAAGTGTGAAATCTGTTAACTCATAATGCGGTTGTATGCCAATTTTTTAAAAATCTGTATGTAAAATGGACATGTACACAGCACTACATGTTTTCTTTTAAAATTAAGGACTATGACATACTAGACTCATATAATATTAAAATTAGAGATGGCATTACAGATCATCAGCTCAACCTTCGCCTTTACCTCAGTAGCCTCGTTTATAAAATAAGGACAATGTGATTTGTTACAGATCTTAGAGTAGAAACCAAAAAAGATGGGTGGGGACAAAAAAATTGCTGAGGACAAACGAACAGAACAAAGGGAGTGGCAATACTGCATTGGTTAAAAGATACTCTAAATCCGCTGCAGAACTGCAAGAAAAACAAAAGGTTTCAATGCACATACTCATAAAGCAATCCTAAATCCTCATAACCATGAAATGTATATCACATTTTCAGTCCAATTACAGTCTTGCAAATGCCATTTTAAAAATAGCCCTAAACAATAAAATAATATTAAGATTTTTCCCCCAACATTTGATATAAAAATAAATAAAGGAAAAAACGTCCTATTTCTCTTCATTCCTTTTCTGCTACACAGTGTAGTATCAGTAAGAACGCACAGTAATATTCATTCATTATTATTAGTGCATTTTTATTCAGAATAACCAGTCACCAGTGCATTGGAGCTACAACAGGAAACAATTGTGAATCCTTGTTTTAGAAAGTTATGCATCTGTCAACATTAATCTCTGCTGAGATTTGGATTTTAAATAAAGCTTTTATGAAGTCTGAAGTTAAATATAAAAAAGGAGGTTCTAAATTCATTCTTATTTAAAGATTCACTAAAGGCAAAGGCATGTGTTTTTCCAGATGGTAAAATTCCAAACACCACTCTGTGCTCTTCCTCACTACGTTCTCGAATTTTTTTTTCAAAATGTTTTGAAAAAGTCACAGTGACTCTTCAAACAGCAGAAATTCAGCCCCACGAGTTGTTTCTGGTGCTTCCCTGATGAAATTCCAGTTGGTTCTAGTGGTTTTAGAATGAGTTTTTAAAGCATTTGTTAAAATTCACTCTGAAATGAAATGTATTCCTCCTCCTGGAGTTTTGTCTTCCCTGCCTGGAACACTGGAATAAATAAGTGTTGCCTCCTCTTGTGAAGTGCATGATATTATGACCTTCAGTCATCACCTGGGTATTCATGGAGTTAGAATATCTGCAAATAATTAGCTAAAGAAAATGGAGTATAGATATACCATGGAATACAACTCAGCCACAGAAAATGAAATCACGTCTCTTGCAGCAACCAGGATGTAACTGGAGCCCATTATCTTCAGTGAAATAACTCAGAAACAGAAATTCAAATACTGCATGTTCTCACTTATACGCGGAAGCTAAATCATGTGTCCACATGTACACACCATGGAAAAAATGGACATTGGAGACTTGGAAAGGTGGGAGGGTGGGAGGAGGGTGAGGAATGAGAAATTAACTATTGGGTGCAATGTACACGATGTCAGTGATGGTCAAACGAAAACCCCAGACTTCACCACTGCACAATATATCCATGTAGCAAAACTGCACTTGTACCCACTAAATCTATAAAAATTGAAATTAAAATAAATTTTAAAATTATCTGCCAAGAGAGAACAACTGGCAACAATTTAGTAAAAATGTAGCATTCTCTTCCTTCTGATTAAAAAAAAAAAGTGTGATAGAATGTGATGAATAGATCAGAACTGCTATTTTATGCAAAGGAAAACTGACCCTTCCTCTAAGATGTCTTGCATTTAGTTATCTCGGTTGAATCTTCTAATCTCTTTTTTTTAAGGATTTCATCAGCATATACTATAAAGCATGACATTATTTGGGGGACAGAAAACTGAGGACCAGACAGCAAACCCAGTGGAGATAGGTGAGTGGGATAAAAAGTTCAAAGTATGCTAGCTGCATCTTACATCCTCTGAAGAGAAGTTGAGAAGGCCAGGAAAACTAGTGCTTTGCCATTAATTATTGACAAGACATCTTAAGAGGGTTGCCTCCATAAGGTCTATTGATTCCTCATTTGGAACAGACATGTTTTATTTCTTGTGCGTCACCAGCTATTCTAGTATTAAGGTTGCTCTCTGATTTGCTTTGGCTCTGACAATAGTTGACCATTAAAACAAAGATTCAGAATTGTGGCCACTATCCAAAGGATTCAGTGACTTTAGAAAACACTGCTCTGTATAAATTTACCAAAAGAAAATGTTTTGAAGAGAGATGTAAAGTTGGGATTAATTTTTTCTGCAAATGGCTTATAAAATGGTACATAAAATGAAAGACAAATGATTTAAATTTATATTTTCATATCCCAGAGTTAAACATGTCAGTGCCTCTCACCATCCAGTAAAATGCGTGTGTAATTCTTATTAGGGTGGACATGGACTGAGCACAAATATTGACAAGCTACTGCAAAACTGTGCAAGGAATATCTTCTCTTAAATTTACAGAAACTAAACAGAAAGAAGTAAATCAGAGGCTTTACCTCATGAAAGAAAAACCATGCTCAGCACACACAGTATAAAAACCATCCATCTCCCTGCTTCCATGGCAGGCGCTCATCCTACGGAGATCCAGGTTCTTTGCTGGACAGAAGGCTCATTGAGCATCCCGTCTTTGCACATGTGCTAGTGTTTGAACTGTGTGGACCATTCCCATAGCTGTTTCTCCCATAAGTGTAAATGCACTGCAGTGGTGGAAGTCTCAAAATACAACCGCAGATGAGGAAGGTAAGAGAAAGGACTGTACAAAAGTAGAAATTCTCATGGCAAACCGGCAAAGCCTTCTTTAGGCAATGTTTTCACCCCAGCTGAGAGAAGACACTTGTCCTTGGATGGAAGCACAGCAAGTCACGTACAGCTTGTAGATCTAAGGAATCTGAAACTATAGCATGGACTGTCACCGAAACCAGAAACAACTGTTGCCTTGTGACTGTGAAGAAAATATCACTCCTGGAAATCATTAAAGAAATAGTAAACTTCGGATGGTGGGAGGGATAAATAAGTGAATAAATCAGATAACAGAATAATATAGAATTTAAAACAAAGTAGTGATAACTCTAAAATATGAAGTCAAAAGCCAGAACACTACTTAAAAGTCACAGAAAATCAGACAAATTCAGCATCCCCTTTAGTAATCAATATAAATAACAAAATCAAATAATAGTTCTTGCAGAATTTCTTAGATATAATGGAAGAAAAACTAAAATAGTTTCTAATAATCTGTGGGTGTGTTTAAGAGTTTGTCTTGCTTTAAGACAATGTAAATATATTGTTAGATAAATAAGTACTCAGAAAACATACTCATGTTTTTCATGTAAAAATAGTACTTGGAGATATCTTTCGTTTCATAAACATAAAAACAAAAGATCACAATGTTAAAGTTCTTTATGAAATGTTTGGCAGTAATATTGAAATCAGGAAAGCATAAGAAATCAGAAAGATTTTTGAAAATATTCTTTGCATACTTAATGTATAAGGCTTTTGTTTCCTAATAGGTGATCATTTAGCATGGGGAGCTGACTGGCTTCCTTAGTCCTACTGTTGGCAGCTACGGAGCTGAGTATAAGGATGACGACTCCATAGCACTAACACAGAAAGCTGGGTAGAGCGCTGAGCAGAAAAGTCCCTTGGTTTCCAGGAAATTAAACCACAGATAAATAGGCAATGATAGTTAAAGATTTTAAAAATATTATCTAGAAAACTGACAAATCAAACTGACCAAATATATATATACACATATGCATACAAATATTTGAGCAATGAAATTAAAGGTATATATTTTATGCATATATAATATATGACACGTGTGCATGTGTTTATGCGTGTAGATATGTAAATAGATATACATATATGCATATGGGTCTACACAGGCAAATAATTTTTTTTTTTTTTTTTTTTTTTGAGACTGAGTCATGCTCTGTCACCCAGGCTGGAGTGCAATGGCGCAATCTCAGCCAGGTTCAAGCAATTTTCCTGCCTCAGCCTCCTGAGTAGCTGGGATTACATTTGCCCGCCACCGCGCCAGATTAACTTTTGCATTTTTAGTAGAGATGGGGTTTCGCCATGTTGGTCAGGCTGCTCTTGAACTCCTGACCTCAGGTGATCCGCCCGCCTCGGCCTCCCAAAGTGTTGGGATTACAAGCGTGAGCCACCGTGTCTGGTCAAATAATTGAAAACCCAATGGATAATACTATTATTTTTGACTGTATGAGAAACATTGACAAATATAATGCTGTATTGAGCAGCAAAGAGTGTCTCTAATTCTAAAGAATCGCCATTATATAGAACATGATCTCTCACTTTTAATGTCACTAGCAAGAGAGATTTTGTAAAAAGTCATATGTTTAGAAACCAACTTAGATGCTACTGTAAAACCCTAGGATTCAAGAAAAAATATGTAAAAAATTATGAAATATCTAAAACTAGGATACAGTAAAAGTGCACAAAAATGTGATACTAAAGCAGCTTTTAACAGGAAATCTATAACTTGAAATAAATTTTTCAGAAAAATTGAATGAAAAAATAAAAGAATGGACAAATTATTCACCAAAAAAACTAGAATAGGAATTATATAATCAACCGAAAGAATGAAGCAAGGTTGTAATAAAAATTAAAGAAGAAAACTGTGAAGTAAAGGACATAATTATGAACGAAAGTGGTAACACAGTAGACAAAGTTAAAAATAAGAATTTTAAACAGTACATTAATAGGAGAAAAAAATCTGGAAAGACTATTTAAGAAGAAAACAGAATATAGAAAGCAAAATATAAAACTTTAAAAATTTCGGAATGCCAAAGAAAATAGACATGCCCAAAGTAATAAAAATAAATATCTATCAATGTATTTGAATGTATATTAATAGAAAAAATGCAAAGCAATTAAAATGCTAAAAAATCTTCATTTTATAGAAATACACTGTCTTCTTGAGGGTTACTGCTTTCAAATTTACAAAGAACATTTCAACCCTGTATTACTAAAAAAAGTAACAATTTGTTGTGTAGTTTATGCTATTTCTTTTACACCTTAGGTAGCATCAAATTGATGTTTAAAAGAAAATAAGAAGAAAATCATAGGCCCACCTTACTTTTAAATTTTAAATAGCTGATATTATATTTGGACTATTTTTATTTAACTCTGGATGATGAAATAGTCAAGTATATTTAAAAATGCAAGAATGCTTTAATATCAGCAAATCTGTTGATGAAATTCAAAATACTAATGAATTTATAAATCACAAGATTATCTCAATTGATACAGTAAAACGTGTTTAAATTCAATATTTTATTATTAAAGCACAGAAAATATGGATTACTTGACAGAGGCTGCATACAAAAATATTTTTTTAAACTTACATAAACAGTTTAGAATAACTCATATCTTTTACAAACAAAATTGAAGTGTGCTTACAATCAATGTTACTTTTTAATATAGAATTGAAGGCCCCGGCCATATGATAAAATGAAAACAAGAGGTATGAGGAAGAAGAATAATTTGATTTGCAAATGATATGATCAGCTACAGTGAAAATTTAACAGAATCAAGAAGCAGCCTCCATAAATCAATAAGGAAATTTATCAAATCTCATGAATATATGATGAGCTTACAAAACTTAATAGTGGTTATTTATACCAGAAAATATATTGCAAGGCAAAATATCACACATACATATGAATAATATATCTAGACGCTAACTGGCCTAGAAAAATATAAGACTTTTACATTGAAAATTAAAATTAAAGGAAAAAGAAAATATTTAAATGGAGAGATGTACAAATTTTATGGATAGGAAAACTTAATAAAAGAAAGATGTCTATCTCAAAGCTCTTCACACTACTCTATCATTACAATGTAATTTGGATCAAAATTTCCACTAGAGTTTTTGAAGATGTAATCATTTTTTAAATGTTGAAAGTCCACAAATAGCTATTGTGATTTTGACAAACAAGAGTGATGAGAATAAAGTTGTTCTGCCAGAGGAAGCCACATGACAAGTGTGTGGCGGTAAGAAATATTGTTGTAATGACCCTAAGCAAAACAAATGGTCAAATGGAATAGAGCAGACAGTGCAATATGTGATCCATGTG
Organism: Homo sapiens; assembly: GCF_000001405.40. Classification (NCBI taxonomy): domain Eukaryota; kingdom Metazoa; phylum Chordata; class Mammalia; order Primates; family Hominidae; genus Homo; species Homo sapiens. The sequence goes on from NC_000008.11 coordinate 5,487,040, forward strand.
TGCACAAACCTTGACATAAGACTTACCTGTGTCTATATGTATATAAACACATGTACACACATACATGTATACACATACATATACACATATACATGTATACACATACATATACACATATACATGTATACACATACAACTATGTAAACTAAAATCTGAAACGCTACATTAATCATGTTGGGATAAAAGCTCTGAGTTGCAAATAAGAGTACCTACCTACCTTACATAATATTCAAAAGTAAGATTCTCATAAATTAAATATCCTCATAGAATTTACTTTTCTCATGTAAAAGCAAAAATACAAATAGAGTTGAAAAAATATCAGAGAATATCTTTATTTTATTTTGCTGGTGTAGAACCTGTTAAATGAGATCCCAGACATACAGTTCATAAGGCAAGACACTGACTACATAAAATTTAAACTCTCTGTGGAACAAAGAAGTGGGAATTGACAGAAAATTTCCAGAAATGTTTAGTTATATCAGAAAAGCATATCAGTTAAAAATACTATAAACATCTTTAAACTAGGTGGAAGTAATATGGAAATAGTAGAAAAATGAACAAAAAATACAAGTAGACTATTCATGTTCAGGGAAACTGTAATGACTAATTTCTTCAAGTGATGGTCATTGTCTCTATTATTGAGCTAATTGAAAATTAAGGAAATACTTTTGTCCCTCAGATTGTAAAAAGTTACAAAGTTAGGTATTAGTGGATCTTAAAGAATATACACACCAAAGACTCATAATGACTCATAAACCTCACGTGTAGATGAAATCCTCGGGAAACACCCTTGCCTCCATCTGTAAGGAGCTATTTACATGAACAGCCACTGACCTATTGTTCTTCATAAATGTGAGTCCATACCCTCAACCACCTCCTTTATCTGACTGTCATCCAACAAGCCAAGATTTCTTCTTTTCTAAATCAACCCACAGCCAGGTCCCACCAACTAGAGACCAACCCTATCTTAAAGGGATTTCCCTGTCCTGATCTGGCTTCCCACGGAAAACACAACACAGGCTCTGGCCCAGGCTGTCCTCTCACTCCTGCCCCCTCACTGAACCTGGCTCTTCCCCAGGAGGCCCTCTGTGGTGCAGTGTGTCCCTCTTGGGAAATAAGTACTGAGTAATAACTTCTTGGTCACTGGCTTTAGCCTCTTGATGTATCACTCCAGAGATTAAATCCCAGGGGTACATGTTGATACATAGTGACTTCCAAACACCATGCATTTCTGCTTGGTCACATATCACATTTTCATTTTTACATATCGTGCATGACAATGTGTTTAATAGCAGCATGCCCTACTAAAATGTCTGTCGAATTTCATTTTTGTTCCTCACATTATTCCAAACGCTTAGCATAGTGTCTGCCATATGGAATATAGACACCAATTTTAAAATAAACACATGAATAAATTTATATAAAATAGCAATAAGGACACTTTACATCAAAACTTTTGAGATCTGGGAAATAGTTTAATCAGACACTAGCATTTATTCTTAGCTTTCTTAATTAAATAAAAATGAGTACAAATTAATTTACTAAAAGTCCACAACGTAAAAAGAGAGATTAAAAAAAGAAAAGAAATGCCAAGGTAAGCTGATAATGTTTTTAAAAAGTTTAGCAATAAAATAATATATGTAACTTAAAATTTGTCATGATAATTTATTCTTAAAATGGAAAATCAGTAAAATACTCAGACTTCTAGCATAATATCTCTATATTCTAAATTCTAAAATGCATATCTATCTTTTCACTAAAGAATTCATTTTTAGAATTCTGGGTTCGCATACAATAGTTATGTATATTTAATTGATAGTATTTCATTTTTCCCTTTCCAATTTACTAGTCAAATGATAGTGTTCCTTAAAATTGATGGTGTCTTTAAATGGATACACTAACATAATTAAGGGAAAAAATACACAAGCAAATTACATATAAGAAAAATCAGAAGCCATAGAGTTTTGGTTAGTAGATTCATTTCAAGAAAGAGGTTTACTCAGTCTACATATGTAAATATGATTTCATAAAAGGAAACTGATTATTACAATAAAAAACAAGAGAAATATATGCCCACAGAAAGGCTGTCCTTGGTCAAAAGCGCGTTGAGGCTCAGCAACTTCAAGTGCTTGCATTTTTCATTTGAGTGCTTCTTCATTGTGTCACTCAGCTATTCTTTGTGTATCTTCTTTCTACATCTATTTATATCCACTTTCCTGAGAGTTTAAATCTGAGCATTTAAAAAAATAATTTTGTACAATGTAACAGCATTAAAATAATAACAGGGTCTGAAAGGAAAATGTGGCTTGGATTTTATATATGATTGAAGACAAAATGCTTTGCTCAATGCATATTTCAGAATCCCTTATAATACTAATGTATACTTATAAGGAATTTTAAGGAACACCATCAATTTTAAGGAACACTATCATTTGACTAGTATTATAAGTATATACTAATTAAAGAAATATCATGAATATTCTTACTAAGGGTATAGGTCCACATTCTATATGGATTCTAGCCTATTTATCAGTTTCACAAAGGAGAAACTTTTGGGTAAGATGAATGTATGATTTGGAGGAATAAGAGAAAACAGAATTTAACTCATCAGCAATGCTCTTTCAGTTATCAATGATATAAATGAAAAATTTCACATAATTATCTAAAAAGAATTTTCATTTGCAAACAATTATGGGAATTTAAATTTTCAGAGTGTCATTGGAGTTCCACATACTGTTTGACAAACACAGGTTTACAGTAGGTGATTATGGGTCATGATTGTTTATGGATCAATCGACTCAACACAATGAAAATATTTCCCATTCTTAGACATATTGCATTAATCAATATCTGCCTCACAAGCATTTCTGGCCTCTCCCTTGGGCCTGTGGGTGAATTCTGGCATTAGCTCATCATGCCGGTGGAAATGAATAGTTGTGTTTTAAGTCAGTAGGATCATCTTCTCATAGATATAAATTATGACTCAAAAGCATACGAAAGGCAAACTTGAAGATTGAAATGCAACACAGAAAATGTTTTCTAATACTTGGGTTCAAATGTAGGATATACGTAAGTGAAGTCCACACGAAGTGTACACACACACACAAACACACACATGCACACATACATAGGCACATATGCACGAGCACACAACAAAGGAAAATCCCAGATGAAATAAAGGAGATAATGAAATTGAGAGAAAGAGAGGGTTGTCCTCTCCCACCTGCGATAAAAGTATTAAATCGATTAAAGATTGTGACCTTTGACTGGGGAGAAGATACTCAAATTCCGGGTATGATAGCTCACACCACTCTAGTCTGTGTTCCAAACCAGGGTGGTGAAGAGAGTCTGGCCTGAGCTCATTATGAATAATTCATATCTCATCCATCTTTTGAAGAGGTGTTAAATTGCCCTTTTGGCGTGTCTGTGGTTTCTGAGGAATGTGTTCACACGTCATTATCACTCGGTGATGGACTCCTGAGAGAGTATGTAATTGTCTTGGAACCAAGGTCTTTGTCAGTATGGTGATGAACGATTTCAGGACAATATGACTTCCCTTGTGACCACAAAGGTAAAACTCCAGTGGAACAGAGGACAATGATCCCCTTTCCCCCTTTAACTTTTACAGCAATTTTACTTTTCCCTAATATTTGCTTCAGTTATAATTCACTTATTCCACCTTCCAGTATCGTCAAAACTAAACTCTTTGAAAAAGAGATATAAGGAAAACCATGGTTTGTTTTTATAATGCAATAAAAAAATTATAGGATTTATCTTGCCAAAATCACATACTTTTCTACTACCATTCATTTATGAAACAATCATTTGAGCTCTATTATTTTAAGCAATTTCCACATACAATTATGTTATTATAATGAAGTTCTAGAAACCTGAAGAGGTAGAAATTATCCATCCCTTTACAGACTAGAAATTGATTTTCTTAACATGAAATAGCCAGTACACGGTGGATTGACGTCTCTCTTCCCTTTTGCTGTAAATCTGGTGGAATACTGCCTCCAGCAATCTTAGTCTCCAAATCAGTGTGCATGTGCTTCCTTTTAGTTTGAGAAGTTGCCACAGTAATTTTTTTTTTCCACATTAAGGACCCTAGTCTATAAGCAAACTTCAGGAGACAAGTCAGGAGGAATTCATGAAAGCATGTTCTGCCGAGTTTATGAGTTTCTAAAGACAGATCTACCTACTGTGCAAATAGACTGTGTGTGTGTGTGCATGCATGTATGTGTGTGTGTGCCCATGTATAGCAGATGGAGGGATGAGGCCTACAGCAGATTGGATAAAGGTAGACTAGTTTGGAAGATACTGTGTGCTCCAAATTAGAAACAACCTAGTTAAGTGGTATCGTGGTAAAAATCTGGCTAAGTGGTGTTGTGGTAGAAAACGAGAAAAAGGAATGGCATTGAGAAACACTTAGAAATGTTCAAATAATTGAAATCATCAAATTTTAATTAACGGAGGGACCTAAAATAAACACCTTTGGGAATAGCTGATTCCTAGAATGCGTGTAATTCATTTAATAGGAAGAGAGTATACTGGCCACAAGCAGGGGGGTGCTGTAGGCATAAGTCAAAGGTTTATGGAAGAAACAGTGAATGTTGGTTAATCCAGTGGGTTTCTTCATTAGCAAAGCTTCTACTGTGAAGAGTTAGAAGGCTATGGCGACTTACAAAAGTTTGTAACAAGAAGACCTGTAGCTTCATATTTCTGTTTTACAATGATAAATATGGTAGCACTATAAAAGCTTAATTTCTTTAAGGGGTAACAAGAAAATGTAAGAGAGAGCTTCAATCATAAAGAATTGCAGAGAGCTCTGGCTTTTACTGGAAAGATAAGGACAAAATCTGATGCTTTCAATTCCTACTCTGTCATTCCTACTATAGCTTTGTTTATTTATTTTATTTTACCTTTTAACCTCAGTGAGATCTTCAAATACAGATTGATCTATGTTTTTCTCTGTACATCAGTTCCTTATTTCCTGAACCTCTTTTGGGGTATGTTTTTGGATGTTCACTACAAGACATAGAATTAGTCAACACCTGTGGTTGTCCAATGAACAATTGGATTTATGACAATTATGTTTTGGCAATTATATAATTATATAATTAAAAAGATTAGATAACTGGAACATTGTTCCTGGGACAGATGAAGGACATGGTTTATTAAGCAATTGTATATGTTTCACAGCCATGATAAGTTCACAAACACAGCACATTTGTATTAAAAGTATCACAGTCTCAATAAAGAAAGAGTAGAAATTTATTTGAATCTGAAAACTTAAATAGCATATACATTCCACTTTACATTTTAAACTTCTTTACACAGAAAAAAATTACTAGTAGAAACACTGGCTTTCTGGGTAAGTTCCTTATGAATAGGTGCCTATTTCTCAGGTAAAGAAACAGACACTTTGATAAATTATTTGCCTATGGACAAGCAAAAGTTAATGGCCGGCAGATTAAAGCTATGAGACTTTAGTCTCCAGAGCTGAGTTTGAACCTCTGGAACATGCTTATTCTTTCAAGGATAAACATGAGTCATTAAAAGCAAAATTTTTGGAGATATTAACGCCCAAAGAAAATGCAGGCAAGAAAGGATGTCAAGTCAATACGGAAATTTAAAAACTAAACACAGAAATATAGCTTGAAATAGAGTTTGTGTTTTTGAAGACTACTATACTCAGCCTTGCAACTTTATTAATTACAAAATATGAATGATATTTAAATGACTTTAAATAAATTTGTAGGGAAATTAAGATGACATTGGTAAAGTACATGCCTGAGTGTGTTGTGTGTGTAGATGTACACACTCACAATTATGCCCATAAGGCAGGATGCAATAATTCATAAACGATGCATGAAATATGTAATAGAGCATATCATAACAACACTCAATACCTTTTGGGATATAAATTTGCCTATGTATAGTTTTGCTAGGTCATTCTTACCTTAGAATGTGATTGGGAAATTATTGTGATTTTCTTCTTAACTAACTCATGTCTCTCTGTCTCTCTTTCTCTTTATTTTTCCCATTGTGCCAAAATCAGTCAAGACCTTCACATGGATTATCTCAGTTTCTCCTCATGGCACTTAGCAAACTCAATGCCAGCTTACAAATACACAATCATAGATCATGAATTTTATTATTGACAGGGAAAAGTAAACATTCTGGCTACCACTTTTGCTCAGAGAGATAAATATTGCTGAAGATGTTATTTTATTCAAGTCAAAATAAATGAATATACATATACACAAATCTATCTTTAATATTTCTACTAGGCTTCTGCTGCAAGGTGAATTTCCCAAAAAGCATACTTTGAGATGAAGGTGAATGTGAAGGTTTAGCAGAGTTTTCTTATGAAATGGAAGGGAAGGAAAAGAAGCAGATTTGGGACAAGAGAATTACCGAACGGAGGTGCAATCATAGTGCGGGCCTCAGCCAACCATAGGGGTGTTCTGCACCTGGGATGATCTTTTAGAAGTGTCACGGGTTGGGACTAGGGCACTGGGCCTATTTAACACCCCCTTCCATCAATTAACACGCGATGTGGACCTCCTAGAAGGGGATTGACTTGCATATGGTGACTTTCTTCAGCCAAGGCAATGCGTATAGGAGGCAGACAGCCAGCACCAAGCACTGTAAACATATTCAGTTGCTTACTGCACGGGAATGTGGACTGTTTCTGATGCTTTCGTCTAACCGGGATGTAAAAAACACATGTTCCAAATGGCTGGTTGCACACCTTGACCAGGAATTTGTGTTGATCCGCTCTGGTGAAAATCCCATCCGTGACACAGGAGCTGCAGTCACGAATTATTAGGTGGTTGCTTTTGCAGTAATATACGCTTACCTTTCTGGTTTCACTTTGTCTTTGCAGCTGGAGGTATGATGGGGCTCATGACCCCACATCTCTCAGGTCTATAAGGGTGGGACTGATTTCTGTCATTACCTCAAGAAGTGAATTTTTTTAATGTTATTTCCATTAGGACTTCAGAAGCTTTTGCTTGATCTTCCACACGAGCCAAGGAACCAACATGAGTTCTTGAGAAATACTCCATATGTTGATTCCAATACAATGGCTTCTGTAGCTTTCAGAATGTGATGCATCACATGAAATAATACTTCCATGAAGAAACCATTTGTGTTTTCCAAAATTTCAACAACTGGACATCACCTGGTGCCAGAAGTTTTCTGTGTCCACTGGATATGGGATCTTCATTGCCAGCCAAGCAGAGGCTAATCAGTGTGTCAGCTGGCTCCAAGATTTCATCCAAGTTACTGCTTGCTGTCTTATATAACTTTTATACCAACCGTAGCAGGCTGGGATCCCAAAGAAGCCAACTCTGAGCCAGAGATGAGTGTGGGAGAGGAGGATTAGGATTGCTTTTGGGATTAAAACCTGTGGACATAGGATTAGGTGGAGAGAAAAGTTGTGTTGAGATGTGGGCTCTGGGGGGACTTCAGCCCCTCCTAGGGGGAGAGCTGGAACTGAGAGGATCCTTCAGCATTGTCTTCCTGCTGAGGGAGGGGCCAGGCTTTTATGCACCCACATGTGTGATAGAGGGAAGTGACCTCATTCATGAGACGGCCCTTCAGCTCAGGCCTTTTCCCCAGGGGCTGACAAGGGAGTATCTCTCTGCCAGCAGCCCAATCAGGAGCCAGAGAGTTCTCTGACTGTCTTCTACCAGCCAACAAGCCTCACACCAGCATCCCAACTTGAAAAATCTTGAGTGTAAATACTGCAATTATAAATCATATCTAGTAAATTTTATTCTTTTATCAGACATTCTTTACTCACTCATCCCTTTTCCAACCCAGTAAGTATAGTTATTTTTTTCATCCTTATAATCATGACTATTTTTAGCCTTGTGTTAGTTTTCAAAGATGGACCCAGAATCCTTTCCTCCTTCTGGCAGTATGGCAGTGCTCATGTTAACAGCTGGAGTGCACGTCCCTTCCTGTTGTATGTGAGCTGGCTTGTGACTTGGTTTCACCAACAGAATGCAGTGGATGTGATGCTCTGACTTCCAAGACCAGGCCATTGGGATTCTGTCAGATTATAATTCTGCCTTGGAAGCCAGTTTTTATGTAAAAAGTCAAAATACTCAGAGCCATCATATTTGCAGGTAGCCCAAACTACACAGAGACGGAGAAAAAAGCTTCAGAGAGGAACGCTGAGAACTAAACAATATTATGGAATCCCTTTTATGCCTTTTTGTAGAGTTACATACATTTGTTTATAACTGTTTAAGGACAATTTAGACCGTTTCAAAGTAAGTGAATTCATCTGTTAATTAAGCAACGTAGTAATTGGGCCTAGGGTTGCACTGTTGTTATGTAACTCATAATTTTCCTTATATTTACCTACTTTGCATCTATGATAATAATTATTATAAGTTCAGTTAGCATAGTCATTAAATAAATATGTAATTTATTATAGTGACATTTGTTTATGGTACAGTATCTCTCCACATAGTTCAAGTTTTCTTAGAATCTTTAAACTATCCATAATATGATTTCACCATGAAAAAGGCAGTGGTGCTGCTAGATAATTTGCTATAAATTAGATGTGAGCCAGAAGGTGCAATGACTTTTCTTCCCGTGTTAGGATTATAAAGCAACCCCTGGGGTTGTTTTGTGCTATGATTTTCATGTTGCAGAAGTCAAGAAATTCACAATTACAGTCCTTCCACAACCTTTGATAGACTCGAAATAGTTATTATATAACAGAAACAGTACCATATAGAAGCAGGATTCACCACTTTTATTTATGAGAAAGAGTTGTAGTTACTAAGGGATTCATAATTTAGACTCATAAAACGTGAGCATTAGAAAAGAAAATGATGTTAACATAATCTGACTTTCATGACTTTACACGGCCGTTATAAGTTGATATCATTTTTCAGCAATTGTAAATTGAAGTCATTTCGGAACTGATTGTAAATCCTTAGGTGAAGAAAACCAAATTCGGTTTACAAGGCATGGTATATTCCTTACCTTTCTGAGTTCAATGATATCATTATACGTGGCCAGCCCTACAGTGAAAAAGAGTATATCCTCAACATAATCTGAATCTAACTTTGTCAGTGGTGTCTGCAAGTAGAGACTTAGCAAAAACTTTACTCCATAATAAATTGCAAATTAAAGAAGGGAGTAGAACAGCTGCTTCACCTGAGAATGCTTGCTGAGGAGTAATTGGTCTCATTGTGACACCAGGTCTCCCCACTAAACAATTGTTTGAAGTCACAAAGCTTTTGTCAAAGTGAAGTATAATAAATAATGTGCAGGGAAGCATGAGTAATGTGCAATTTGGGGTGAGCTGCGAGAGTTGGTGTATCTTGCCCCAGGTTGTCCTGGGGCTAGAAGGAAAGGCATATTATGCTGATCCTAGCAGACATTATTGTTGATAACAGGAATTGATACAGAGCTTTTATGAGTCAGTTTTGCTTAAAAACTGAGAATTAACATGAAAACAAAAATAAAAATATGGTAAAGCTATATTGAAAGGTGCTTAATGACAGTATCTGTGTATAATTTATTCATTTATCCAGTCACAACGTATTTATTAAGCTTCTTCTTGTAGAATAAGGTACTAGGGGCCAGGACTACGCTGATAACAAGACAGAGATGATCTTCACTAAACTTGCATCTTAATTAAGAAGTCAAAGTGAAGCATAACAGAAACATCATGGATAATTGAAAGATTTCGGTGGCTTTCTGCTGTCATTAGAGTAAAAATCCACATATTTAATGTGGCCTTTAATAATCTTATTTATAGTTGATCTAGTTGCCTCAGCTACAGTATAATGAGTAAATGTGAAAGCACCAAGCTTATGTGCAGTGAGATTTAAAGGAGAAGTGGCCATATGGGTTAAGAGATTGGCAATTCCCTTGAGAGACTGATAAATTGACATATGTTAAAGGTAAGAGCAGCAGGAACCTGGTGCTGTTCTATAAGGTGTTAATTTAGAGAATGGCTATGGAGTTTAGTGGTTTGGGTTTCAAAACTAGGAACATCCTTTGTCTGTTGTATGATGTTGGAGATGTCATTAGCTCCATGAGGTTGCTGTGAGAATTCTTGGATATTATCTCTTTCTAAATTACTTCTCATACATTTTCTCTCTATTGCTTCCATAGCTTCCGTTACATGCATTTAATCCATCTCACACCAGTTAGAATAGCAGTCATTAAAAAGTCAGGAAACAACAGGTGCTGGAGAGGATGTGGAGAAATAGGAACACTTTTACACTGTTGGTGGGACTGTAAACTAGTTCAACCATTGAGGAAGTCAGTGTGGCGATTCCTCAGGGATCTAGAACTAGAAATACCATTTGACCCAGCCATCCCATTACTGGGTATATACCCAAAGGACTAAATCATGCTGCTATAAAGACACATGCACACGTATGTTAATTGCGGCACTGTTCACAATAGCAAAGACTTGGAACCAACCCAAATGTCCAACAATGATAGACTGGATTAAGAAAATGTGGCACATATACACCATGGAATGCTATGCAGCCATAAAACATGATGAGTTCATGTCCTTTGTAGGGACATGGATGAAATTGGAAATCATCATTCTCAGTAAACTATCGCAAGAACAAAAAACCAAACACCACATATTCTCACTCATAGGTGGGAGTTGAACAATGAGATCACATGGACACAGGAAGGGGAACATCACACTCTGGGGACTGTTGTGGGGTGGGGGGAGGGGGGAGGGATAGCATTGGGAGATATACCTAATGCTAGATGACGAGTTAATGGGTGCAGCACACCAGCATGGCACATGTATACATGTGTAACTAACCTGCACAATGTGCACATGTACCCTAAAACTTTAAGTATAATAATAAAAAAATTAATTAAAAAAAATCTATAAAATGTATTTTTTCGTATTCAAGAAGCCAGATAAAAAAGAAAAAGCTTAATACTGTCAGGGATAGCTGACTTTTCAACAGGAACAATGGAAACTAGGAAACAATGGATGGGACACTTCACGTGCTGGAGGGGAGAAATTGGCATCCTAGGGTTTTGTACATAAACTTTCAGACCTAAACAATGGAGGATCTTTTCATGCCTGAAAGCGAAGGTCTTAGGAACTGCCTTTAAGGTATTCTCTTACTTGGACACATGGGTCAATTTAAGCAGCAAAATAACAATTTTGTTAAAATATTGTAATGAATTGAATTAAAAAATGAATCAATGAGTGCATGGTAATATCGAGAGATAGAAAATAAGAGAGAGATTGAAAAATGGGGAGGGAAAGAGAAAGAGACAAGAAGAACAAGAGTAAGCTCTAATTTACAGAAGCATTTGAATTGCTAAATGTAGAAAAATGGATAGCATAAAAATAATTATTTTTCAAATTCCCCAAAGCAATAAGTATTTCAGGATAGAATTAACTATGGATAATAAAACCATTGGGTGGATAATTGTTATAAAATAGATTACCAGCACATGTTGAAAGTACCATTGCAGAGATTAAAAACAAAAGAGGAAAACGCATCTATATCATTCTGCTTGGGCTACCATAACAAAATACTGTGGATGACGAGCCAGCTGAAATAACAGAAACTTATTTTCACATAGTTCTGGAGGCTGGAAGTCCAAGATCAAGGAAGCAGCATGGTTGGGTCCTGGAGAAGGCTCTTTTTCTCACTGGTACATGGCAGTCTCCTCACTGTGTCTCCCTATGGTGGGAAGAGAAAAGGGCAGCAAGTTGTCTGGTGCCTCATCTCATAAGGGCACTAATCCCGTCATGAGGGCCTCACCTTCATGAACTCATTTAATCTTAATTACTTTCTTAGAGTCCCCATCTTTCAAAAAAACCACACTATTAGGGGTTAGGGCTTCAACAGATAAATTTTGGGGAGACACAAACATTCACTCCATAATATATCTCTAAAGTGAGAAGCTCTGATGGCCACCACACTGCCCTTCTTACTCTATTGACCAACTTCATGTCACTAGTCATGAAGTCACAGGGCAATCTGACATTATGTGTCTCCTGATGTGATGTGAAAAGAACTAACGCAATATCAACTATGTGATGTACTTATCTGGAATGATTACCCTGAACTTGTTCATAAGGAGAAATACACAGCCGAGACATTCTATGAACTGAATTGCCTGGACTATTCCAAAATATCAATGTCACTAAAAGCAGAAAGAAAGCTGAAGGAATTTAAAAGGTTAATACACTACAGAATCATAAACATAATGCGAGGTGTGTTACAAGTTAGCATCCCTAGGAAACTGATCGGAAGCGGAGGTAGAGCACAAGCCTTGATTGAAATATGTTCTTTTTTTGTCTCACCCCTCCTTCCCCCACTAGACAGGCCCCACTATATGTTGTTCCCGTCTCTGTGTCCATGTGTTCTCTTTGTTCAGTTCCCACTTATACGTGAGAACATGCAGTGTTCAGATTTTTGTCCCTGTGTTAGTTTTGGTGAGGATAATGGCTTCCAGCTCCATCCATATCCCTGCAAAGGACATGATCTTGCTCCTTTTAATGGCTGCATAGTATTCCATGGTATATATGTGTATTTTCTTTCTCTAGTCTATCACTGATGGGCATTTGGTTGATTCCGTGTCCTTGGTATTGTGAATTGTGCTTCAATGAACATATGTATGCATTCTCTTATAAAGAGGTGTGCTCTTTTAAGCTAAGAACAATACTCTGGGAGGACTGTTGGAATATTTCTGGCAACTGGAAGGATATACATCTTTTAATCTTAAAGGTGAATCTGAGAAGCACATCAAAATTTCCAGGAGAACGCATGAAATAGGATTGGATCATGAATTATATGATTTTATTAAAAATATTTTTAGAGAAACATCTTGGAGCACTTAGAAAAATTTTAATGTAGGCTGTATAGAATTATGAACATATTGTTGAGTTAATGTTAACTTGGATGTCATAATGGCATGGTTATTATGCATGTTGTTATTTTTAGGAAATTCAGAATTACATAATTGGAAGTGGCAAATGTGGAAAAATGTTAGAAAAACAATAATTTGTGATGGTGAGTCTCATCAAGTGTGTTAATTCTCACTGGCTGGAAGAATCTCCAATTCTGAACGTTTCCTGCTTTATTAGGCTGGGCTTCTACTGACATTTTCTGTTTCATTGCTCTTTATGCCCCCAAAATGATTGATTTGATCTTGTAATTGAAAGCACGTCTTTATAAATGTCAACTTGCTGGTAATCAACATGTAATATATGTACTATATGAATATAAACATCAAATCATGGTATGGCCTTTGGCTTGGAAGTATATTGTCTAGGAGAATAGCCGTCCACATCAAACAACTAAGGTCACATCAACATATCGCATTCAACAAATATTTTCTGAGGCACTGACATGCAGGTCATCATTCCAAGTGTGGAGAATGCATCATGAGACAAAGATCCTTGCATGACATCATTGTGAGAGATCCACATTCCGTGCCTGCTTTGCTCTTCCGATAAAATGCTGGCAGTTTCCAACACAACTGTCATATAGTGCCTGATACATAAATAACTAACGGTTAATTTACTTTGTGAACAATGTCATAGAAATATTTTATCAAATAACTTTTTATTCCACGTGACTTCCTCTGATTCTCATATAGGATGTGAGTTTGAATGGTTTAAATACTAGAATATCCCCTGAGAAGAGTAACTGTATAAGTAAATAACAAACTTACTATGCTTTGGAGAGTAATAAACTGCATTTTAAGAAAATGGTCTGTTGGCATTCTTGGGGAAATTGCTTTGCTTCTTGATCAGTCCTTCAGAGAAAATTTTTGGAAAAGGACCCCAGACACATTTCATGATAGCAATGGAATGTGAATGACAAAAATTGTACTTCACCATGATGCTTATATATTTAGGAGAAATTTTTTTATGAGAGATTACTGGACTAAAATTAATTTTTAAAGATGTTCGTATATGAAAAAATGAAACATTTCTCACAACCTCACTTGAAAAAGATTGTTTGCCAGTACTCCTAAAATAGTTTTCTGAGAATGAGAACTTACAGTGCAAAATATGAAGCCAAAATCTTGGGGATTATTATGGCAGAATTCA